>NT_167246.2:479765-780907 GCF_000001405.40 Homo sapiens | reverse complement strand
GTAAATTAGGAGGTTTAGATCAAGATTCATTATTCTGGATAAGACTGTCCAATTGTTGACTGGGTGCCGTGGCTCACGCCTGTAATCCCAGCACTTTGGGAGGCCGAGGCTGGTGGATCACGAGGTCAGGAGTTCAAGACCAGACTGGCCAAGATGGTGAAACCCCATCTCTACTAAAAATCCAAAAAATTAGCCGGGCCTGGTGGCAGGCGCCTGTAATCCCAGCTACTTGGGACGCTGAGGCAGAGAATTGCTTGAACCCAGGAGGCGGAGGTTGCAGTGAACCGAGATTGCCACTGCACTCCAGCCTGGATGACAGAGCAAGACTCCGTCTTAAAAACAAAAACAAAACCAAAAACTAAAAAATAAAAAAAGACTGTCCAATTGTTTTAACACTGTTGAAAAGACCTTCCTTTCTCTGTTGAATTGCTGCTGTTCCTTTGTCAATAATTAGCTATAATTGTGTGGGTTTATTCCCAAGCTTCCCAATGTCTTCCATAGATCTATGTGTCTATCACTTCTCCAATATCACCTTGTCTCGGTGAGCTCTTTTGGAACAGCACTTTGGAAGGGTAACCTGCAAGTGGGGTGAGGGGCTCTATGATGGGACATACCTGGCCTAGTGGGCAAGGAAGGGCTTTATGGTCAAACATTCCTGGGATGCAGTAACGGCTTTCCCCTGTATTGCGGGACATCAAATATTCTCTTCATTTCTTTCAACTTGAATGTTCTCACCTGTAAAATGAAAAATAACTATTCTACCTTATTTGGAAGAGAAGACCAAGAACCTATATGACATTGAGCAGGTGTCTACGGAGCACCTAGTATCATGTGATACACTTGGAAGATACCCTGGTGAACATGCTGGACACAGCTCCTGCTTCTGTAGGGCTTGCATGTTAGTGAGGGAGACAGAGACATAACCAGACAACTGTAATTATGGGCCAACATTTCTGCCCTCAGAAACATATGATGTGCAAGTGGGTCAACACAACCCAATCGTGGAGTGAAAGAGAAGGTTCTGGGGCAGTGACTTCAAAGTGAAAGAGTACAGGGTGAGAAAGGGGCAGCACAGGAACAAAACAGGGCGTGGGGAAAGAGGGACTATAGGTAGGCAGACAGCATGGAAGAAGGCAGAGGATGAAGAGAGTAGGACAGCATGGTGGGGCATAGAGAGCACTGAACAATGGCGAGAAATGGGATCCACCAGAGAATAAAGGAAGGGTTTTGCATGTTCCAGTGAGGTGTTGGGCTTCATGTCGTTCATTTTGTTTTATTCTATTGAATTTTATTGCTATTATTCCACATAAAATTCACCATTTTAAGTTACACAATTTAATTTTAAATATATTCACAAGATTTGGAACTATCATTGCTATCTAATTCCAGATCACTTATATCACCCTTAAGAGAAAGCTTATACTCATTAGCCGTCAGTTCCTATTCTCCCCTCCTGCAGCCCCTGGCAACCATTAATCTGTGTTTAGTCTGTATGGATTCACCTATTCTGGACACTTTACATACATGGAATTATATAATATGTGGTCTTCTGTGCCTGGCTTCTTTCACTGAACATGCTGTTTTCACATTTCATCCACATGATAGCCAATGTCAGTGTTTCATTCCTTTTTATGGCTGAAGGACATTGCATTGTGTAGATGTATCAGTTTCCTAGGGCTGCTGCAACAATGTACCACAAACTGGGCGGCTTCAAACAACAGGAACTTATTGTCTCATAACTCTGGAGGTTAGCAGTCTAAAGTGTCAGCTGGCTACCCTCCCTCTGAAACCTGTAAGGGAATCCTACCTTGCCTCTTCCTAACTTCTGGTGGTTTGCCAGCAATCTTGGCTTGCAGGAGCATCACTCCAGTCTCTCCTCTTGTCACCACATGGTTGCCTTCTCTTTGTATGTTTGTGTCTTCACATGCTATCTTTTCGTAAAGACACCTGCCGTATTGGATTAGGGCCTGCTCTACTCTAGTATAACTTTGTCTTAACTAATGACATCTGCAATGCTGCTATTTCCAAATAAGGGCACATTCTGAGGTTTGGGGAGTAGAGCTTCAATGTATCTTTCTTGGGAGGGCACAATTCAACCCATAACAGTGGACACACCTTTTCTTTATGCTAGGCTTTCTTATAAAAGTAATGAGATGCCAGTTAAATTAACAGTCCTTAGTGCTTCCTGTTTTTTGAGTCAAGCGCTTCGCATGTGTTATGAAGTTTACAATTGCTCTGCAGGGTGGAAGGTGGAAGCTATTATTTATAAGAAAAAAAAATTAAGGAAAGAATGGTGAGAGGGTGAACCAAGGTCACACTCTTGATCCATAATGGAGATAGGAAGACTTTCCAAGGTTTTTCCAAAAGTTCTACACTTGGTAAGTGGCAGAGTCCAAATAGAAACTCAGGTTTTCTGCTTCCAAATCCCATGATCTTTGCAATGTTGCAAGTCTGGCTTCTGCTGTGAAACGCTACTGTTATAGAATACGTCTTCCAGATCACAGAAGCTTTCATGACCCTTCGACTGTCTCATGCAAGCAATGGTGAAATGGTAGAGATGCTAATTGAGCGGGGACATCAAGGGCACCCTCAGGGCTGAGTCAGCTGCAGTCCACAAGACAGAACTAAAAGGAAAGAATCCATGGGGAAACACCTTCATTAGGCCTTTTCACTATGGGAAAAGAACTTTCAGAGTTTGAGTGATGGGAAGAGTGAGGACCTTAAACAAAATGGTGAAAGCAAAAGAAATTTTTAGAGGAGAATGGTGGGTTCAATTTGGCCCTGGTGAATTTGAAGGGTGTATTAGTCTGCTAGAGCTGCAATAGCGAAGTATCACAGACTGGGAAGCTTCAACAAGAAAAATTTATTTTCTCATAGTCCTGGAGGCCAAAATTCTGACATTAAGGTGTCCGCAGTGTTGATTTCTTCTGAGGCCTCTCTTGTTGGTTTGTAGATAACTGTCTTCTCCCTGTGTCTTCACACAGTTGTCCCTCTGTGAGTGTCCGTGCCCTAATATCCTCTTAGGGCCCACCCTAATGATCTCATTTTAATTCTATAAAGACACTATTTCCAAAGAAAGTCACATTCTGAGATACTGGGGGTTAGAACTTCAATATACAAATTTTGAGAGGACACAACCCAACTCACAACAAAGACCTTGCTGTGCAGTAAAGCAGAGATATCTTTTAGGTTCTTAGCACTCAGAGTTGACAGTTGAGGAAAGACCAAGGTTGAGCATGTCATTTTTTTGTTTTGTTTTGTTTTTTGAGATGGAGTCTCGCTGTGTCACCCAGGCTGGAGTGCAGTGATGTGATATCAGCTCACTGCAACCTCTACCTCCTGGGTTCAAGCAATTCTCCTGCCTCAGCCTCCTGAGTAGCTGGGACTACAGGTGCACACCACCATACCAGGCTAAGTTTTTTGTGTTTTTAGTAGAGATGGGGTTTCACCATGTTGGTCAGGCTGGTCTCAAACTCCTGACCTCAAGTGATTCACCTGCCTCAGCCTTCTAAACTGCTGAGATTACAGGTGTGCGCCACCACACCTGGCAAAGATGTCATTTTTAGGAGGCAGAAATTGAAGACATGTGATATGGTTTGGCTGTGTCCCACCCAAATCTCATCCTGAATTGTTGTTCCCATAATCCCCACATGTTGTGGGAGGGACCTGGTGGGAAGTAATTGAACCATGGGGGAGGTTGCCTCCATGCTGTTCTTGTGATAGTGAATTGTTATCAGATCTGATGGTTTTTTAAAAGGGGCTTCCCCCTGTCCCCTTTCACTCTGCCCTTCTCCTTGCTGACACCATGTAAAGAAGAAGGTGTTTGCTTCCCCTTCTGCTGGCATTGTAAGTTTTCTGGGGCCACTCCAGCCCTGCAGACCTGGGAGTCAATTAAACCTCTTTCCTTTATAAATTACCCAGTCTTAGGCTGTCTTATAGCAGCGTGAGAACGGACTAATACAACATGTGATAGCTGATGATCCCAGAAACAAAGTCTAGAGAAATTGGGTGAGGATGCCAGTCTTGTGTGTTTTTGGTCATTGACAAAGTAAAATAAAATTTCTTAAAACGTTTTCCTACTTTTGCTATAGAAGCTTGATTTGTGAAATAGTGTTTGGAGAGTTGTAGTATAAATATCAATGCAGAGTGAATTAAAAAACAGAAGAAATGGATAAACCAGATTTACAATCATTAAGTAAATCAAAATTGGTAGTTAAAAAAATTTAGCATGACCAGGCCCAGATGATTTAACAGGCAAATTGAACAATTGAAAAATAGGCAGCAGGTAGATTTTTCTGGATTTACAGAGTGTATCCACCCCAGCATATCCACTTCTCTGAGCCTTCTCACCTCTGTCTTTCGTGGGGAGTTGTCACTTTTTCCATACTTACAGGAGCTTACCTTGAATCTGATTTGAACTATCTTCTGGAATCCCTGTTAGGCTGTTAAATCCTGTATCCTGTGAGGATCCTCCTGCATTGATAATAAACCTCTCTCATCTAACCTTAGGTTCTACTTGGAAATGGAGACCCTTTAGTATCCAGCCCCATGGATATCTCAGGACTTCTGCCCATATATGTGGCTATATTCTGTGGCTCTTCCCCTATTAAGTCATAAGGTCCCTGGCTGAGGTAGGCTGTGGTGAACCTCATCATTGGCCTGGCCACCAGGAAACAAGGTGTGAGCTGATCAGGGGGTTTTAGGGCACTACAGTCTTGTGGGAGAGCAGTCTCTGCCTTCTCTCCAAGCAAGGGGCCAGTGCTTTCCCTTCCTAGGGAGGGCTGGGCCACTCTGCACACTCAGATTGTGCAGGGGCATCTGGGGATTCAGATAAAAAGAGAAATGGGCAGAGGGGAACAAGAAAGGGGCACAGAGAGAGAAGCTGGGATGAGTCACGAGAGCACAGAAAGAGGGGCAGAGACACGGCTGGTTGCCAGCAAGGTCTCAGGATCAATAGGAAGACCATTGTTGGAAGGAGGAAGATTTCCCCAGTATTTTGTGTGGGAGCTCCAGTTGGAAGCTGGAAGCTCTGCTCTTTTGCATCTTAGCGTGAAGACGGGGACCATGGGTTCATCTCTCCCAGGCAGCTCTTCATTTTGTTGTTTTATTTTCTTTTTTGATTTTTATTTAGAAATTTTCTACATTTCCTAAAATCTTAACTTTTATATCATTGTTGGTGTCCAGTAAATTAAGAGAAATGTGGCAAAATGACATGGAATCCAAATACATCATCAAAGAGATATTTTATTTGTAAACAAGTTACTCTCTAAGGTCTTAAAATCTGCCCCAAGTGTTCTCTCTGCACGTGAACAGGCGGAATAATTGTGATAAAATGGAAGAGCCCAGCAGGTGGGGTCTGTGAGATCATTCAGCTGACTCCTGCAGACAATGTGCTCTCTCTCTCTCTGCCCCCACACTAAGGGTGCACTCCTTGTTCATCTCCAGGACGGTGTCAGCAAATGCTGCCTGGGGCATGCTGGTGATCACTGTGTCACTTTGGGTCAGGAAACACATTCTGGAGAGGACAAAGCAAGTGAACAGGCCTTGTACGCTGAGTGGAAGGCCTTTTATCTCCAAAAAATCAAACCAGAGAAATTAAAAAATATCTTGAAACAAAAGACAAGGGATACACAAATATAAAAACTTGAGGGTTCCAGGGACCAGAGGGCTTCTGCACCTTAGCCTGTTTCCTGCTTTGCTAAATGAGCAGATGTGTGATGTGCTCTCTTTGGTCCCATCGCTTCCTATTGTGATTCCTCCACCCTGGGCACTTGCTCTCATCCTGTTCTGCCGGCTGCTGCCTCACTCAACAAAACCTGTCGACTTCGACTAAGGTCAAGATTCATGGGTCGACCTTAGTACCACCTGCCATTGGCCCCACGACCATGCCCTGTGCCACCACCCAGGCCCCAGAGCCCAGGGCACAGCAGGTTCACCCTGAGGACATCTGAACAGGTCTTTTTTCACAAGAGGACAGAAGAAAGGATAGCGACACTGAGCTCCAATGCCGTGAAGAGGAGCATCACAGACAGGATCCTCTGAAATGCAGGATGCACGAGGTCTGTGCTGGACTGGCCAACCCTTCTGCCTTCCTGAGATGACCAGATGGGTTTAGACAGTGTCATCTGCTGGCTCCTCTTCCCTCGTACCTGACTCAACCTGCTCATGATCTGGGAGACAGTGTCATATCCTAGTATCCTGGGCCACTCCAGGGACAGCAGTACAGGTGGCAGGTGACACCCAAGGTTGAGCTGAGCCTCCTGACTCTTCATTCATCTGGCCTCCAGGGAGAGTCTCCGCCTGTCTGGGTTTCAATTTCATCTTCTGTAAGATGGGGACTTCCCACTCACCCCTTAGGGCGGTTTGCAGGTCCACAGAGGTGGTGAGGCAGAAGGCCTTCCTTTGTAAACTGAGCGCCAGCACCTGCTACCCACCTATGCTCCCTGGGGTGGGCCTGCTTGGCTTGGCTGGGAGGCAGCAAGGGGCACCTTGACCAATCAAAGTGATGTGCTGGCACAGTTGCTAATTCTCACGCCAGTCCCCAGGAGCTATCTGCCTGAGGAGGAGAACAATTCTGCTTCCCTGGGTCACCTTCCATGGAACAATGACTTCCAAGTAGAACAGGTAAGGCCACAGGTGGGCAGAATCTAGAATTTATTTGTACAGACTGTGACTATAGTGGGTTAGTGTCCCCCCTCAAATTCATGTCTACATAGAACCTGAGAATATGACCTTATCTGGAAATATGGTCTGTGTAGGTGCAATTAGTTAAGGATCTCAAGGTGAAATCATCCTGGATTTAGGGTGGACCCTAAATGCAATAACTGGTGTTCTTATAAGAAGAGAACAGGACACAGAGACAAACAGAGGGGAAGCCCTCATGAGGATGGAGACAGAGGTTAGAAAGACGTGTCCAGAAGCCAAAGAATGCCTGGAGTTCCCCAAAGCTGGAAGAGACAAGAAAGAGTTTTTTCCTAGAGCCTTCAGAGAAAGAGCGGCCCTGCCGACTCCTCGATCTTGGACTTTGCTTTCAGAACTGTGAAGGAATTCACTTCTGTTGTTTTCAGTCACCAGTTTGTGGTCCTCTGTTATTGTGGCCATGGGAAATGAACACAAGGACCCCTCAGGCAGGGGTTGCCGCTTCTCAGCTCTTCCTGAGAAGCTCCTGAGCCAGAGAGCTCAGGCTGGTTTCTGAGGAGCTCATCCTAACCCACTACACAAACCCCATCCAGCCGCTCAGCAGATGCCTCCCCTGCCCCTCAACCCTCCACTCCCATTATAGCTGCTCCATCTATGGGAGGATGGCCTGAAGCCAGCGATGAGGGGATGGGACAACGGCCAGGCTGTGCACACATTCCCCCTGCCTGCTGCCTCTCCACCCCTAGAATATCCCCCTCTATGGCTGCAGGAATGCAAACTTCCTCTGCCTTCTTTTCTCAGTGTTCCACACACATGTTCTCTTGACTTTATTGACTAAACACATTTTAGAGCAAATACTGATGCTCAGACTGGCTCTAATGCAACAGAGAATGCGAAACCACATTCTGTCATTTTCATAAAGTTCTGATTGCAAACAACAATTAAAAAGCCCATTCCGTATTTGTTTCCTGATTTTTTGGGGTCATTTTTGGCCATCCCATCCATTTTTGTGCATGTGATGGAATTAGGATTTAGCCTCTTGCAGCCTCCCTTGACCTGTGGCTCTTGCCTGGCTGAACCTGGGCACTGCCAGCCTGTGGCCACCCTGTTTATGAGGTTCCTATGTCTCCCTGAGCTCTTGGCCTTTCTTGAGCAATTCGCTACCCTGACCCTAGAGTTCTTGCTTGGAAAAACCCATCCCTTGAGACTATGACAGTTAAATCAGTTTGTTTATTAAGTTGCTCAAATTGAAACCAAGTTGTTGGTTATGTCTTTTTGCAACTACAGTCTTGCTTGATATTGTACTTGAACAACTCTTTTGGCACAGTCCAGTCAAATGCCTGCTATTCTCCCATGTGTGGGTTCCTGTGTTCTGCCTCTTTCCGCATGGTCCACATCAGAAGGAAGCAGTGAACAAGAAGCAGAAAATCTCAAAGACTTCACTAGTCTGGAAGATTCTACCTAAAAATACTCACCAGTAAGCTGGAGCTGGCCACAAAGCAGCTGGTGGTCTCATTCTTCGAAAAGTAGTGGCTGTCTTGGGGCACTGATGGGCAGGCACCACCAGTTGGCACTGTCTGGCAGCTGGGAACACCCCGGCTAGGTGATAGGGAAGGACAATGAGGCCCACTGTGGCAGCCATGGGGCTTAGGAGGCTGCTGATCAGGCTGTTCCAGGCCTGCAGGGGATCTGGTCAGGGTCTGCTCCTGAGCAGTTCATGCTCCTGGGGCACCACGATCCCACCAGGCCAGCAGCAGGTTCTCACATCCAGGATCCTCGGCAGGATGGGACTTCCTCTTCTGTTATACGATTTGATTAATTTTGTTCACTCTCAACCCCTCTCAGAGCTCCCCAAGCCTACAGGCAAATGCTTGCTTGATGCACGACACATGAAAGCGTGAATGAAGCAGAGACTTATGGTGGGACAGACAGGAGATGTGGTTCTGGTAGCTTCTCCACCCAGGACTGAGCAGGGCTAGAGGAAGAGGAAGATATGTATAGAACTGATGTCCCATTGGACTGAACCGAACAGAGAAAATATTGCAATGCCCACAGTGCTTGATAAATCACAGCTTCCCTGACCTCCAAGCCCCCTGCTGGCTTTACCCAGTCCACTGGCACCCTGAGGAGGTTCCTCCAGCCATCTCCCCTAAGCCTAGCCAGAGGCCTCCTGCCTCATCCTGAGCTGAGGCTGTCATCAGGTGGGTTCCCAGACATGCTCTTTCCTATCACCTGGCTCTGTCTGCAGCACCCCTGCATGGTAGAGCTCGAGGCCAAGGGGCCTGCTCACCCAAGTACAACAGATGCCCCCACAGCAGCCTCTGTCATATGGGGACAGCAGCAGGGTTGGTGCTCTTTCCTGTTCTTTTCATCCACTCCACTTTGTGAAAAGGGTGCCCTGGCAGGAGGGCCAGGGAGCATGGGGTACGAGGGCTCAGTGTGGGGGCAACAGCACCTGGGGCCGAGGGTGGATGTTCAGATCCCGGCTGGGGCACGGCCCAGAGGAGGGCTGAGAATCACAGCTGCGCCATGGGGTGCTACCTCCCCTCGAAAGTAGGAAACCTGGATTCCAGTTTTGCGGTGTCCAGACTCACTTTTCAAAGACCAACACCAGGGGAGGAATAGGCTGATGTCTGTGGTGGCTTCTGGGACACCTGGGCTAGGTGTTCCAGCCCGTCACAAGCAGCCCATGGCACGTGTGCTCAGGTATGCCCAGCAGCCTCTGGCAAAGATCCGGGCCCTCTTCCCAGGGGCTCAATCTCAGAGCTGGGCAGTGATGGGGGAAGAGATGGAAAAAGGTCGTGGGCCATTTCTCCATACAGCCCCAGGGATTCACAACTCGTGTTGTCAGAATGTTCTGAGAAAGTCCCTTTTTTTCAAAGAAGAGGTCCCTGAGGATGGTGGCGGGTGAATTTCCTAGGAGCCTAAGTGGCCCTGGAACACCGTGGTCCCCACCTTGTGCCGCCGTCTGCCTCACCCAGCTGCTGCTTGCTCTGTAGGGCTGGTGCTCCTGCCCTTGTTTAGGGGATCCACACAGGCTGCTTTCCTGGAGGGCTCAGGGGAGGCTGAGGGTGGGGATGAAGAAGGGCATCTGATCCTTTGAGGGAGGTCTGAGAGAATGACAGTGTCCAAACCTGGCACTGCCACCTTGAGGCTTGGCTGCCAGTTTCTTGGCAGCTTCTGTGTCAGGACAGGGAGACCCCCAAATCCCAGGTCACCAGAATCTCCACCATACCCATCTCTGTCCCCCAACCCATGCCTCTTAGCCTCCTAAGAAAGGCCTGGAAATGATTCTGCAAAAGTTTGTCAATCAGATGTGCACCCATCACTGAACACCCCCTTTTCACTCTGCACCCTTCCTGGCCCCCACCAGCAAGGCTCATCTCTTTTGATTGATGCTTTTCTCACCCAGGCTGTGGTGCACAACTAACAGCCCATGCTCTCACTGTCCTCTTTCCCCTGTGCTCACCAAGGACCTGAACCCCGGTGGTCAGTGAACACCAAAGGGTGTCATGATGAGGCAGAATTTTCCCATAAAGCCACCCAGAGCCTGGAGAGGGTACAGGACTCTCTTCAAAATGAGGATCATGAAAGGTGTCCCCCAGATCAGTGGGCCCTGTGTACTTCCACAGGGCCACTGACCAAAGGACACTTGTCAGCAACCTGGGGTTCAGTTCCTTTGTCTGAACCTTGGAAAGATCCAACTGGATGAGGTTCCGCTAAAGTCTCTTTTTAGTAAGTGAGGCACTGTTGTTCCTATACTCACCAGATGCTTGTTTGATTTTCTTCCCAAAATGACAGACAGCAATCCAGAAATGATAAACTACTCAGAAAAGAGGAAAATGGTAAAGTCAGTTTCCACATGAACAAGCACCCCGATGTCCCTACCACTGAATTGTCACGTCCTTGTACACCTCCAGGAACTTCCCCACAGGGCTGACATTATTGGGCATGCTGGAAGCTGGGCCAAAGTCCAGGCCATATGTGGCTACAGGCCAATGTTGAGGGAAGTGGATATAGGAGGCCAAGCCACCCCTAGAATCTCATGAGAACCTGACTCAGCTGGAGAGGAAGTTCTTCTAGGGCAAAGACAAAGGGGCTTAAGGCCCAGGCTCCCCAACAGGGACCAGGGAACAGTGATTTTCAAGGGAGAGAGGGCAGGTAAATGTTACAAGACTCTATTTAGATGAAGATGTTGTGGTGGGGAGAGAAAAGCCACGCGGGCTTTGAACTGTCAGTTCCATGGGCTCTACCAGAGTCAGAGTTAAGGACAGAAGAAAAAGGGGGCCCAAATAAAGGGAAGATTTTGAGGCCAGGTTAACAGCTAGAAAAAAACTGTTGATTCTGGGTTATTACAGAAAAAGTGTTCTGTGGTAATGCAGTAATTTGAAATAGCTGCAATGTACGAAAACTACATGGCATGGTGGCAAGACTATAAAAAAAAGTTTTTCTGGTCCTACCAAGAAAATAGCCAGATAGAGAGGGAACAGGGAGGTTTGTGACTCAGTGGTCAGAGGATGCTCAAAAGCCACCGTGAATGCAAGAGGCTGCGGCTGGGGCGTGAAGACAGGTCTAGGCTGTGGGAAAGCCTCATTCACATTTCACAAGACTGAAAGCTTTCTCCTGAAGCTTCTTGCTGTGGCCTGAATGTCTGTTGCCCCCAGATTTCATGTGCTAAATACCTAACCTCCAATGCGATGGTATCTGGAGGTGGGGTCTTTGGGAGGTGAGTAGGTCGTAAGGGTGAAGCCCTCATCAATGGGATTACTTCCTTTATAAAAGGAACCCAGAGAGATTCCTCTGCCCTTCCACCACATGAGGACACAGCGAGAACGCTCTATCTATGAACAAGCAACAGCCTTCACCAGACACCAAATCTGTCGGTGTCACGATCTTGGACTTCCAGCCTCCAGAACTGTGAGTAATAGATGCTTGCTGTTTATAAGCCACCCAGCTTATGGTATTTTTGTTAAAGCAGCTCAAGCCGTCTAAGACACTCCTTGATTCCAGGAGCCTGGGGGATATTCAGGACTCCGAGGCTATGTCTGGAGCGTAACTCTGCAGAAGGCCTTCCACATGCCAAGAGATGACAAGCAGCAGATAGAGCTTCTAAGTGCTCCATGCCACCTCTTCAAGCTCAGTATATGCTCTACTGACCCCACTGGTCCTGCTGGCCCCATAGACAGGGCCACAAATGCACCAGCCTGGCCACCCCACTGTGTGCCCTGTCCACCCCATTTCTCACTTGCTGTCTGCCCACCTCACTCCTACTCCTTGTGTCACCTGAACTTAGGGAGAAGTAGGGTGACCCTATGTCCAGTGTGTCAGGGACAGTCCTGGGTATTCCTGTGATCATGGCATAAATAGTAATAGCACACTCTTTTATTCTTATAGTGTCCCTGTTGAGGCTACACATGCTATTGTCACCCCAGAGAGAAGCTGCAGGGCTCCCAGGGCCCTCGAGGATGGCACTATGAGGATTTTGGAAGAACTGATATTTGAGCCAGATGATCAATTCTGTTCCCATTGGCAAAACCCCTTCTCCTGCCAGGCCTTCTCTCACTCCTGGCTGATTGCCCTCAAAACAAGTTCCATTCCTGCATCTTTGCTCTCCACAGAGACATTGCTAGGTAGCATATCAGTTGTCTGTGCCCTGCTCCATCCCAGAGACCACCCTCCATGAACACCCATCCTACTCACATACTTGGCTCCTACGAATGGGTATCCAGACCTCACCAAGGTGAGAACCACTGGGCCAAAGTGACAGGGAAAGGAAGTACATGCCAAAAGGATCCCCATGCTCATAACTGCAAAGCCACAGAGGATCTGGATGGTCTGTTAGGGAAGAAGGGTCACCTGGTGTGACCTCAGAAAGATATGTTCAAGTCCTAACCCCTGATACCTGGGAATGTGATCTTCTTTGGAAATAGGGTATTTGTAGATGTCATTGGGATGTCAGTTAAGATGAGATCAGAGTGGAGCAGGGAGGGCCTTTAATCCAGTATGACTGGTGTAGGTACAAGACAAGAGAAACAGGCAGATGCTGGCAGAGAGAATGTCACACAAAAACGGAGGCAGAGGTGGGAGGGATGCAGCTGCAACCAAGGAGAGCCAAGGACTGCCAGGATACACCAGAGCTGGGAGAGAAAGCCTGGCCCTGCCCAGACCTGGATTTCAGACTATGGCCTCTGGCCTCCAGAATTGGGAGAGCATGAGTTTCTGTTTTGTTTTGTTTTTTTTTTGTTTTTTTTTTTTAAAGCCATCTGGTTTGTGGTAGTTTGTTACCATGGCCCCAGGAAACCAACTCACTGGGTGAGTCAATCAAGGGCCAGTCATTGTCAGTTTCCCCAGGGAAGCGGAGTGCTGGAACTCTCTGTGCAACCCAAGGAGATAGTGCGGAAGCAGGAAAAGCGTCTCAGGGGCATGGGAAACCAAGCACGCAGGACATGCTCCCAGCCCTTCCCAGTGCTGGCTGAGATCAGCGTGCAGTGAAATGCTGGGTGTTTCTGTCTTTAGCTCTGAGCTGTGGCAGTGGGATCCCAGGTGATGACTGGTCACAGCCCAGGAGGTTCCCATGCCCTTTGCTCCCTCTCCCTCCTGGGCACAAAGAAGCACTTAGGAGACAGCAGGTGGGGCAGGAACTGGCTCCCACTCTCTGCAGGATGAGTGGACACAGGTACCTCTGTTCGGGGCATGGCTCCTTGTGGGAGACGGACCCCAGAGCTGTGACGGGGTCCCAGGCAGCCTCTGAATCAGCCTCAGAATATTTCTACCACAAGAGTTCACATTCTTGCAACATTTACCAAGCAACCTCCTACCTGTTCTAACAGCGGAGTCAGCCCAGAAAGCACTTTTCAACCCAAGGTTAGGTGTGGCCTGGGGATTGAAGGAACAGCTGAGGCTCCCACAAGTAGGGAGGTGCTGGCCCTGGGCCCCAGGCCCTTCCCCCTGGTGCTTGTGTTGCCCAGCTCCTTCTTTCCGTTTCCCCCTCCTCCCTTTGGTCATGCAATGGAGTTGTATTTCTTTAAAAATCATGGATCGTATGAGAGATATTGGAAGGCAGACTAAGGGCACATATCTGTTTTCAAATGGTTAATTTCTCAAGAAGGGAGAATAGGAGATGAATTGTCTATAATTTTTAGAAAGAAAAAAAAATCCCTGGGAAGTAAAATCTAGAATAATTTATTCAACAGACTATTTTTTTTCTTTTGCCTCCAAATAAAGTGTATGCAAATATGTTATTATTCCCTTAAAATGAGTTAAGCAGCTAAAGTTTTATATCTCAGGTGAATGCTCCCCATGAGCACAAAACTGGGAAATCTCTTACTTTCTTGCGGAAAATGACTAGGTGGTCCCAGAGGCCTCCCCCGACGCCTCCAGAGCAGCCTGGAACTCCTTAAGCCAAAGGCTCTGTCTCCAAAGTGACAAAGTGTCCTCCTGGCACCCACTCAGCCTCTGCCCTTTGCTTGGCTGTTCTTACCCCAAGCACCTGGGCCTTTTTCTTCAGATTTTTTTCTCACGTTGTCCTGGTTGAGAGGCTCCAGATTCTCTGTGAGGTGCTCAAAGATGCAACTTTGTGGAAACACCACACAGTATCCACTGGGCAGGGCTCTGGACCCGGATAGGGATTGCTGCTGCTGCTGCCAGACAGGCGCGGAGCCAGGTCCGACTCTGGACCGAGACTTAACATTGCAAACTTCCCAAGCTTCAGATTTCCTTGGGTAGTCAACTAGAATCCCCCAGTCATCCCAAGGCGACCAGGGTTCTAGGAAGGAACCTGGGAACAGGGGTGCCTCAAAACCCTGGCGTAGTGAGAATTCTCATGGGTTCTTGGCATTGCACAACACCTGTTGACAGCACAGCCTGCCCTGAGGAGGGTCACAGCAGAGAGAGCAGACCAGCCTGCCTGCAGGTGCCCAGCTTCACCTTCATACTGGTCATGAATTTCCTGCAGTCCCTAACAGGCTTGGGACATGCTCCCTCCAGCCCAATTTCAGGATTGGATGCTTTTCAAATTCTGCTCTCCATCCCTTCTTATGCCAGGTCCATTCCTTTCAGGACATCCAGTTAGCACTGCCCTGCTTCTATAACCCAAATATTACGTGATTCTTTGTAGGAAAACCAATTGTTGGTGTCAGAGCTCTCTGAGCACTGACAATAGGCTAGGCTTCATGCTAAAGCAGTGCTGTTCCTTACACGCAGCAAGGCCCGTAATCAGAGTCCGAGGTACTAGTTCTAAATGAATAAGACATTCTTAGCCCAGAGACGCCTAGCCACAGCATGGCCTCTGTATGAATGTGTAGTAAATGTAAGCAATTACGAGTAATGCCAGGTTTAACTGTCACAGCCGATGTGACAAAGCCCGCTGGCTCTGGGTCTTTTCTCTTTTTACCTCCTCAGCTCCCTTCTTCCCCCTCTTGTAGTGTAAGGCAGCTGCATATGGCAGAAAGAGAATGTGGTCCAGCCCGTCCCCTGGTCTCTGCAGCTGAGCCCAGGCCCCACCTGCCCCAAGGGCTCTGTTCACTGCATCAGCCCCTTCTAGGACAGCACAGTGGGGAAACAGTCTGAAGTTGCCCAGAGAGAGGAGGCTCCTGCTCCTGTGGCCCTTTATCCTGCGTCTGAGCTTGCAGGATGTTCTGGGATCTCTGGGCTGGAGTGGGCAACACCTGCAGCTCAGAAACCATGTCCCAAATTAGGCACGTGAAGGAGTCTGGTGGAAAAAGTATTGGGCCACAGAAACAAGGCTGCTGGGTACCTTTCCCAATCTCACAGACAGCGTCCTTCAGAAGAGACCCCAACACTGACGTTGGCAGATATCTCTGAGGGGGCCTGTGTGACTTTCATCTCCTCCAGGACCTCTGGGCTTCATTGGCCCATGTCAACCTGTTCTGCCCTGATTGGCAGGGAACACCCCACATCTCTGGCTCAGGCAGTTATGATGACAAAATTTATAGGGCCCTTCCTGCAGCAGTTCTTTAATTTTTAGAACAAGGCCAGTGGCATTGTGATTGAGTTCAACTGCTGGGGAATCAATTGCATTGAATTTGTGTTGGGTGGTATTGTGTGCACTGAAGACACAGTGCACACATTAAGATCTCAGAACCTCAGAGCTGCAAGGGAGCCCCATTTAGCAGATGAGAAGTTTCTCCTCCTAGGGCTTCAGGAGCTGTAAACATCCACCCCTAGATGCCACCGTGGGGTCGGAGCCCCACAATCTGCCCATCTGTATGCTCCCCTAGAGGTTTGAGCAGTGGGGCACTGAAGAAGCAAGCCACACCCCCATCACGTGCCCCGCGAGGGGAACAAGGGAACTTTTCTCATTTCAAAAGTATAAAACTCACTGTAAAAATAAGAATATAGTACAATTCAGACTTCTCTCATACTCTGATGGCATAAGTCACTTTTAATTCTAGTATAAAATTAAAAGATAAAATAAAACAATTATAGCCATAATAATTTGTTGGTGGATACAGAGTATGAAAAGATGTAAATTGTGACATGAATAACATAAAAATGTGTAGAGAGAAGAAGTTAAAGTGTAGGGTTTTTGTATGCAGTTGAAGTTAAGTTATTAGCAGCTTCACATAGACTAAAAACTGTAAGATATTTTATGTAAGTCTTATGGCAACAACAAACAAAAACCTGTAGTAGGTACACACAAGACAAAAAGAGTAAAATCAAAGCATATTACCACACAAAAAAATCATTAAATTACAAAGGAATACAGCAAGAGGAAGAAAGAACAAAATATCTACAAAATAGTCAGAAACCCCTGAACAAATGGCAGTAATAGGTCCTCATCTGTCAATAATCACTTTAAATATAAATGAATTCAATTCTCCATCAAAAGACATAGAGTGGCTGAATGAATAGAAAAAGAAAACCAAGATCCAACTATGTGTTGCATCTGAGGGATTCAATATATCTTTAAGGACACACATAGGCTAAAAGTGAAGGGATGGAAAAAGATGTTCCATGCAGATGGTAGCTAGTAGAGAAGAGGGGTGGCTATACACACATCAGATAAAATAGACTTTCAGTTAAAAACTGCCACAAGATTCAAAGAAGATAATTTTGTAATGATCGAAGGAGTCAATTTATCAAGAAAATATAACAATTTTAAGTGTATGTGCACCCAAGTTCAGAGCACCTAAATATGTAACGAAAATATGAACACAATGAAGGGAGAAACAGACAGCAACACAACATTAGCAGGAAACTTTTATACCCCACTTTCAACAACGGATAGATTGTCCAGACACAAAATCAAAAAGGAAACTTTGGATTTGAACAACACGATAGACCAAGAGGTTCTAAGAGACATTTATGGGACATTACATTCAACAGCAGCAGAATGACCATTCTTCTCAAGCATACACAGAACATTCTCTAAGATAGATCATATATTAAGCCACAAAACAAATCTTAACAAATTTAAGAAGATTAAAATCATATCAAGTCTGTTTTCTGACCACCATGGTAATAAATTAAAAGTTAGTAACAGGAAGAAAATTGGAAAATTTACAAATTTTTGAAAATTAAATAATATCATGTTGAACAATCAGTATGTCAAAGAAGAAACCAAAAGGCAAATTTAAAAACTATCTTGAGACAAACACAAATGGAAATACAACATCCCTAAACTTATGGGATGCAGCAAAATAGTTCTAAGAGAGAAGTTTACAGTGATAAACACCCACATTAAAAATATTATAATATAATTTTGCATGATGTTACCACTGGAAAACTGGGTATGGGATCTGTTTGCATTATTTCTTGCATCTACATGTGAATCTACAATTATCTAAAAATTAAAAGTTGAATTTAAAAAGCCACAAGAATGATAATGTACAGAAGAGCAAGAGGAACAGAGAGATGTAAAACATTTCATTTAATCAAATATTAAAAAAAAAAGAAGTTGCTGACCCAGTAATTTCACTCCTTTTCGTTGGATATATGCTCCAAAGGAATGCCTGCATTCATTCTAAGACATGCTACAAAACATTAAAATACAATGGTCAAAATATGAAAAGACAAGGGATTTCATACAATATAATCCACCCAAAACAAAATCCAAATTATTTTTTAGAAGTTATTAAAATAGAAACCACATGTTTTTGAATATGTGATTAAAGCATACTTAATACAAAGAGAAAGCTTTGCTAACTGGAAATTAACTATTTGTTTTTGTCTTAAACAACTTTTGGTACTGGAGGATTTTAAAATGAAAATTATTTAGAAAATAGAAATGTTGAGATAATTGCCAGTGGTTATATGTTAATATCAGGAGGGACTTGCAGACACTGGAACAGGACCTCAGTGGGGACATGCAGAGCCATGGGGGCTGGCAGTGCTGGCTGCTGCATGTCACAGGAATAAACACAGAAAGCACATTATTGTTAAAGAAGAGAGCATGAGCAGACACTGAAAATGCTTTAATAAAGATACCAGAGAACAAGATAGTGTTAGTCCATTATGTCCATTACCACACTGCTATAAAGAACTACCTGAAACTGGCTAATTTATGAAGAAAAGAGGTTTAACTGACTTATAGTTCCACAGGTTTAACAGGAAGAATAACTGGGAGGCCTCAGGAAACTTACATTTATGGCAGAACACCAAGGGGAAGCAAGCACCTTCTTCACATGGTGGCAGGAGAAAGAGAGAGAGTGAAGGGGGAAGGTCACACAATTTTCAACCATCAGATCTCATGAGAACTCACTCACTGTCATGAGAACAGCAAGGAGGAAATCTGCCTCCATGATCCAGTTACCTCCCACCAGGCTTCTCCAATTCGATATGAGATTTGGGCGGGGACACAAATCCAAACCATATCATGTGTCTATAAGAAACACAGAGATTTACACTATTGGTATGTAAATGGTGCTACTGAGACCAGATTGGGTACAATGACAAACACTTCCTGTGGATGGTGACGTCTTTTCCAGACTAGGAAGACTGGAAAAGAGAAATCTCCATGTGGACGGCCAGGTGTCAGAAAATGCTTCAATCAATGGATTTAGTTAAACAGCATAAAACAGCTTGCCATGTAGTTATTTTGAAATAAATTACTCAGTCAGGCAGCAAATTCAGGGAAAGTCAGCCAAATAAATATACAAATGTAGACAGAGAAGTCTTCCCAAGAAAAGAAGAGAAAGCAAAGAGAAATGGCATCACCAATGAAAGCACACACAGAGATGTAACTTCAGAAATGGTGTCCAGGGAAAATGTCCTTTCCCATCTTCACATCATCCTCTGGACATTGACCAGCAAGCAGATATTTTCTGACGCAGAAGAAGAAAGGAAGCTCTTCTGATCTGTACAGTGGGCAGATCACATCTCCGTGGGGTGTTCTACAAATGTTTTATTGATCTTTGGTGATGTATTTTTTTTGTCATCCAGTAATTTTTTTCATGCCCCTTGTCAAGATAATTCTCCATCCTTATCTGGTGTGCTTCCCTCCTGGCAGGGTCTAATCTTTGTTGCCTGCTCTGGAGGTAGCAGGAGCCTCAACGGTTCAGAGAAGTCCTATCTCCTTCCTGTAGGCAGCAGAAATTCATTTCTCATGAACATCAAAGTCTTCTTAGTGAGATGGGTGCCTGGTGGGTGAAGTTAAACATGTCCAGGATGGGCCATGGCTACGCCACAGGACCTGAAGGGTTTTATCACAATAGGTGAGGACTGCCCTCAGAGTGTGGCATCAGAGTCAAACTCTGGTATTGTAGCTGCAAACCAGCACTGATCCTTGGGGGCAATCCCTAGGCATCCTGGAAACTCTGGCTACTGATTGAGTTCATGAATGAGATGAATACCTAGAATTTAAGCATACACCTGAATGTGAACCTTGCTTATGCTGAATTTCCTTTTTCAAATTTAAATGTTGAGCTGACACTGATAAAATTAGGCTTCTCCAAACAGCAAGCCAAACTTTGCTTATTTGCTGACAAGCCAGCAGGCCCTTCTATTTCAGAAGAAGTGATGTAGAACCAAGTTCTTAGCAAGCAATGAACTCAGGTGTCTGCCAGGGAATGGCATGCTCATTCACAGATGCATCAGTCCTCATCCCTGTAGGTTGGAAACCCCAGCAATGAAGAATCAATAGAAAGGTCTTCATCATGACTCATCACTCCAAGCTGTCTGTTCTAGAGCAGGGAAATTTCCAGCATGGATCTTTAGCTCCATTTGGGAAGATGGACCAAACCCTGCCCATCTTGGAGAAGAGGTGGCCTGACACTCAAGGTCCCACACACAAGGCTCTTTCCCTCTGTGTGACCATCAGAATCTTCAAGGGATACCTGACCATTTCATTTCTTTCTTTTCTTCCTTCTCTTGACAAGTTAATTGCAGAAGCTGTTGGAATCGCTTCAATAGAACAGATGGCCTGCGCTGGAGAACGTGTGGTGTTACATTAAGGGAGGGGTCTTGTGCTTAAGGGAAAAAAATGAGACCTGAACTAAAACTTCCACAGAGGACAAAGGACGAATTCCTGGAATCAAGTAAAGCAGTGCAGCAGCAGTGACAAAACCTCCAGAGTTCATCAGAAACAGAGAAACTGATTTCAGGGGTCACAAAAGAGTCTGGTGTCTGCATACCAGAGAGAACAAATGTAGGTCTTTTTTTTTTCATTCAAAAGATACAGATTACACTTTAAGAGACAGATAATTCCACTAAGTAAAACTCCTCTGAGAAGCACACTTCGTATGTCCAGGAGAAAGGCCATGAAAGGGCACTGTGGAAACTGGGAGGCAGATACAGGTGAGGAGCTTGCAGAGCACCTTGAAGTCCAGGAGCCTCTTGTACTTCAGAGCTGATGGGTGAGAAAAGCCGGTCAGTGTGGGAGGAACAGAGTGGGGCATAACACCCTTCAGCATGCATCAACATGACTGTGGGATTGTGGGGAAAAGGCTAGGAGGGGTGACAAGAGACAACAGAAAATGTTATTCTACACTTAAGCAAGACATTTTCTCTCAGGGTAACAATACGTCATTGGTGTTGATTTTCAGTGCCTGTCCTAACTAGGATCAGGTGGCAAAACAGGACACAAGATATTGAGAGTCCAGGGGACTCCATGCCCAGAGACTGCATATTCACATGGTAAGTGACCAAGAAACTGTTACATGAAGATGGTGGGTACAAACCATCTTTGAACAGAGAAAATGAAATAACTGTTTACAGAACATCAGCCCTCGGGACAACTCAGTTGGAAAATCAATAATCTAGAAATGTGCATTCTTAAAGTGAATGTGGCAGGTGAGATCAGAGCAAGGGAAAAGTACTGAGAAGGTAAAATGACAGTGAGCTCATGGCAACCCCGAATCTGAGTCCTAAGACATCAGTCAGTGCACAGGGTTGACCCGATGTGTGTCAGAAAGACAGGCAGAATCTCTCAGACCTGCTGTGGTCCCTGAGAGTTGAGAATGCAGGTGAAATGTGGACACAGAAGTCCCAATACATACCCATGCCTGTAATAGGAGGACACTCTTTTCAAACTGTGAGGGCTAGGGCCAAGCTTTTCTTACTGAGGTGAAGAAAGGGCCACATTACTGGCTTCTCTCTGCACAAATTGTATTGGAACACCCCTCAAGGGGTGCTTTCTTTGGGAGTGAAGCATGGTGAAAGCTTTTGCCTGAGGGGTTCTCTGAATTTGATCTTGATCTTGTGTTTATCAAGAGCAATGCCATGAAGTTCAGCTCACTAGAAACTGACTCAACATATCCAACTTGGAACTGGGTCTACTCCTTGCAAGGCCCTATTCCCTGTCCCTAGGATGAGGGAGTCAGGGGCTGCCAGGGCTATGCGGAGCTCTGACCAGAGTAAGAGAAAGGAGCCCTATGGAGACAGGAAGGACCTGCCTGGGCACATAAAGCCACAGTGGAGCAGCTGACCATGTGATAAACCTCGGGATGCTCAGCTATCTGTCCCCACAGATAGAAGCCACTCATTGGCCAGAAGAAAAACAAGGAGCACATGGGAATCTTGATCAAAGTTGCTCAAGGTCCAGTAACCTCTGGAAGCCCAAGAGAGAGCTCATATTCAGAGGACAGGAAGACAATTCCAGACCATTGGTCCACAGAGGTGTCACCTGTCCTTCTGTGTCTGTGTCAGCCTCACTGCCCCCTGACTTACCCCTGCCCCCAGGAAAAATGTCACAGGTAAGATGAGAACTGTGTTCTCTCTTCATCTGACTCTCTTTCTCATCTCTCTAATTCGGAGGAGTTTTTGCAAGGATTTTAGATGTGTTTTCCCCAAGGGAAAGAACATTATCAGGACAGTGCAACCCTTCATTTGAGGACTGGGGACTGGAATCCATCCTTGCTTATTCTTTTTTTGTGTGCGAATTTTGCTTCATTTTGGTAAGAATTCTTGACACGAGATCTATTATCCTAATAATTTTAAGTGCACAGTAGTGATCTTTAAAATGCAAATCCTTGGCTGGGCATGGCAACTCATCCCTGTAATCCCAGCAATTTGTGGGGTCGGGGTGGAGGGGATCTCTTGAGCTCAGGAATTTGAGACCAGCACAGGGCAACAAAGGGAGACTCCCATCTCTACAAAAAGAAAAAAATTAGAAAATTAAAAAAGAAACCTAGCCAGATGTGGCAGCACACGCCTGTGGTCCCAGCCACTCAGGAGGCTGAGGTGGAGGCATCGATTGGGCTGGAGAGGTGGAAGCTGCAGTCAGCAGTGATTGCATCACTGCACTCCAGCCTGGGGGTGAGAGAGTGAGACCTTGTCTCTAAAGAAATAAATAAATCCAGATAATATTATTATCTGAGCTTAAAACTTTCCAACACCTGGACATTGCACTTAAAATTCAAACTTCTTATCTTGGCCTATATGATTCCACACCTGCCTACCTCTCTAAAAGCTTATTTCTCTCACTCTCTCTTTCCCTCCCTAAACTTCAGCCACACTGGCCTTCTTTCTTTTCTTCAACCATACGACTGTTCTTCCTATGCGCCTTTGTACTTCCTGTTCCCACTACCTGCAGCACTATTCCTCTAGATATTCCCAGGATTGGCTTCCTGAAAAAGCCAGAAAATATTGTCAGCTCAGAAAGGACCAACCTAAGTGGCTCACTGTCTTTCCCGTTTTCCTTAAGATAGTCCATCCCACTGCCACTTTTTTTTTTCCTTCAGAGTAGTAAGCACCGTCTGAAATGATCCAATTTACTGCATTTGCTTATTGACATTCATCTGTCCCAACAGGACAGTATTTATTCATTCATCTCTCACTATATGCTCATCACTGTTCCATGCACTTACATGCTATCCACCCATTTAATTTTCAAACCCACAAGTAGGTATTATCAGTATTCTAATTTTGCAGAGGAAATACCAGAGGCTCAAAAAGATGAAGCAGCTTCAGTTGCAAAAACATTCCAGTACACTGTTGTTAACTATAGGCAACTACTACTTTTGTGCAGTAGAGCTCTAGTGCTTATCTATTTTGTTAAACTGAAACTTTATGCCCACTGACTACTAGCTCCCTACTTCCTGTCCTACAGCCCAGGGAACAACCATCCCACTCTTTGTTTCTATGAATTTGACTATTTTAGATACCCTATTTAAGTGCATGCAGGATTTATTCTTCTATGACTGGCTAATCTCACTTACCATAATGATCTGCAGGTTCAACTATGTTGTCATATATGACAGAATTTCTTCCATTTTTTTTTTGAGATGGAGTCTCCCTCCCCTGCCCAGGCTGGAGTGCAGTGGTGTAATCTCGGCTCACTACAACCTCCGCTTCCCAGGTTCATGCAATTCTCTGCTTCAGCCTCCCAAGTAGCTGGGATTACAGGCACCTGCCACCATGCCCAGCTAATTTTTGTATTTTTAGTAGAGACGGGGTTTCACCATGTTGGTCAAGTTGCTCTTGAACTCCTGACCTCGTGATCCATTCACCTTGGCCTCCCAAAGTGCTGGGATTATAGGCGTGAGCCACCACACCTGGCCAAATTTCTTCCTTTTTAAAGGCTGAATACTATTCTATCTTATGTTTATATCACATTTTCTTTATCCATTCATTTTTTGATGGATTTTTAGGTTGTTTCCACATTTTGGCTATTGTGAATAGTATTGCAGCAAACATAAGAGTGCTAATATTTCTTTGAAAACCTGATTTCAATTCTTTTGGACAAATACTCAGAAGTGGGATTTCTGGACCATACGGTGCAGTTCTACTGTTAATTTTTTGAGGAATTTCCATACTGCTTTTCACAGCAGCTGCGCCATTTTGCATTTTCACCAACAGTGTGTGAGGGATCCCTTTCTCCACATCCTCATTAGCACTTGTTATCTTTTGTTTTTCCAGAATGGCCATCCTAACAGGCGTAAGGTGCTATCTAGTTGTGGTTTTGATTTGCATTTCTTTGATGAGTCATCTTGGCCTGTCCTTGACTGGAGACACATTTTGGAAGCTGTTGGCACTCTCTGTTAATGGACATTTGGGTTATTCCCTCCCGTTCTCCCCTGAACTGGCTCTTCCCAGGTTAGTAGGAGGAAGAGTGTGTACTTGGTGCTGCAGGACTAAGATTAAGCCCTAGTGAAATCTGTAACATCTTTTTGGGCATTCCCATGGATCAGCTATAGCAACTCATTTAAGGATTTTTTTCTTGTTACAGATACATCCTGCTTTAGTGAGCTCAGCTTCTCTGGCAACTTCATCTGTGAAGCTGTCTTAAAGTATGAGAAGTCATTATCAGTGTTCAGGATCTCAGGAAAGGATGGTCTGATCTCTTTGGGCCCAGAGCGTTTCACCTCTCAAGCATCCTAAGTTCTTCAGTGTTCTGGACTCCATAGTGGGGCATCAAGGGTCATCAGGGCTGATTCTCAGAGGCCTAGCCAGCTCAGCCGAAATGTCCAAGGCTCAGGCAGTGGGCCCTGGACAGGGGATGTTGGCATCCTCCAATGAAATGATTCCATCCATCTTCCTGAGACAGGAAGGTGGACAGGAATCTCTCTAAGGAAGACACATGAGATCTCCTCTAGTCTGTGGTCAGCCTTGAGGTACCACACCTGCCCAAGGTGAGCAGGTTTTTGGCTAAGGGTGAATGGTTCATATCAGTTCTCCCCTACCCTGGATGCATTGTCTGAGGTGTTTTGCATGCTAGGCTCTTGGCCTCTGTCTCAGAGTCTTGAAAAGAGACAGAGCAGAGCTCTCCTGCTCACAGTCTGTATCTGCACTCATCCAGGATCTTCCACTTAAACGAGCTCTCAACATCATGGACAAACTTCCAGCATGTGAGTAGATTCACATCTGAGGCTACATCTTTGGTGTTTGCAAAATAGTGATAAGGATTCCATGGTTGAAAGAGGAAGCTGTGGTCAGGCCCCACCACTCCAGGGACAGTAGCTCAGTGCTGCTCTGAAGGGGCCTGGCTGCCCCTTTCTGTCCACTGATGGCTGAGATAAGAATATTCTCCAATCTTGAAAATGGCCTATAAGTCTTTAACTCTCTAGAGTTGCAGGGACCTTCTTGGGGTTTATTAACGCAATAATAGAAAAATAGTTATTGCACTCAAGTTGCTTAAGAGGCCCTCTCTGGACAGGAGCATCAAAGATTAACAAAGCAGATGAAGCCACTTGCCCCAGGGTGGTGAACTTGCTGAGCCTGCCTGTGGCTCTTTCCTTCTGGCTGTCACCTGGTTGCTCCAGTAGGTCATTCAGATCTCCATGTCCTACTAAGAAACTCCCCTCATTTATCCCACTAGGAAACATCCATTACCCTTATCATTTTCTATCCACTCAGCCCAATTTATTTTTCTCCTTGCAGTTATCACAATGTAAACCCAAAGAAGGTACAGACAGTTCTACCTTAGCACTGTCTTATCCTCATGCCAAAGATAAGTTTGTGGCAAGTGACATTTGCCTACTGAAGAGGCAATTTCCTGAGGAGACTGTTGAGTAGAGATGATGAAACGGTCTTTGGAGGAGCTTCAAAAAGGGAGGTCTAGAAGAAGAGCCCAGTGTGTTTCACAGATCCCAGAGCGGGAGGCAGAGGTCAGAGAAGCCTTGCGAAGTCTGCTCCACAATTCCAGATTCTATAAAAATAACAATTATTATTAGTTTTTTGAATATTAATAATAATTATTCATTAGAAACAAGATATAATAGTACTACTTGTTAATCATAATATAATCATAAATAATTAATAATCACATACAACTATTAATCACATTATATTATTAATATATTGTTATTAATATGCCACTAATAGCATATTCATATCATATAAATAATATTAATATAGTATACCAAATATATTAATATATACTGTTAATATGCTAATATATTCACATGTAATCAATAATACATTAATATCTTAATATTGAAAGCATATCAACATTAAAATGTACTGATAAACTATTTTACTAATATTGTATAAATATTATTAATGATACATTATTAATAAACTGAATAATGTTAATATCAATTAATATTAATGACCAAAGACCCACCAACATGGGTCGTGTTGGCATCAAGACTGTGACGAAGGTGGCCTAGGTCATCGTAGAAAAGTACTACATGTGCCTGGGCAATGACTTCCACACAAACAAGTGTGTGTGAGGAGATCCCCATTATCCTCAGCAAGAAGCTCCACAACAGGAGAGCAGGCTGCGTCACGCATCTGACGAACCAGATTCAGAGAGGTCCAGTGAGAGGTATCTCCATCAAGCTACAGGAGGAGGAGAAAGAAAGGAGGGACAATTATGTCCCCAAGGTCTCAGCCCTGGATCAGGAGATCATCGAAGTAGATCCTGACACTAAGGAAATGCTGAAGCTTTTGGACTTTGGCAGCCTGTCCAACCTGCAGGTCACTCGGCCTACAGTTGGGATGAATTTCAAAATGCCTCGTGGAGCTGTTTGACTCTTTCTCCAATGCTGTAATATACAGCAGTCACTGGATTTTATTTTCAATAAACCTGGGACAACAGCAATAAATAAATACATAAATATTAATAAACTAATGTCAATATTAATTATCAATATCCTTGATAGCATAATTGAGAATATGTTATATTAATATAATTAATATATTAACATAAATATATAATGTGAATATATTAACATCAATATTAATAACATGTTAATATAGCAATGTTATATTAATATAATTTATTAATATATAAATATTTACATAGTATTAATATGCTAGTCTCTCTATATTAATATATTTACATAGCATTAAAATACTATTCTCTATATTAATATTTATATTAATATTCTTAGGCCTCTTTTGTATTTGTTGCACCCTAAGTCTGTTCATTTCCTTCTCCTCAGCTGACATTTGGAGCATAGCAGTCGATGATGCCCACACAGACACTGCCTGAGACTCACGCCCCTGGAGAAACGCAGATTTCCTTATTTTCCAGGTCAAGTCCTGCCAGCCATAGAAAGGACTTCTTTGGTGCCAACTGCTGTGAAATGCCTGCCTTGGAAATCTCAGTGCTCCCTTGTACCTGTCTGAGCCCAGGGAAATGCCATACTGTGGCACTGCTGCATCCTGTATGGCTACCCAAGGATGCCCAGGACTGGGTTTGAAAGAGATGAGACATGGCCAGGTGCCGTGGCTCACGCTTGTAATCCCAGCACTTTGGGAGGTCAAGGCAGGTGGATCACAAGGTCAGGAGTTTGAGACCAGCCTGGCCAATATGGTGAAACCCCATCTCTACTAAAAATACAAAAAAATTAGCCGGGCATGGTGGTGGGTGCCTGTAGTTCCAGCTAGTCAGGAGGCCGAGGCAGGAGAATCGCTTGAACCTGGAAGGTGGAGGTTCCAGTGAGCTGAGATCGCGCCACTGCACTCCAGCCTGGGTGACAGAGTGAGACTCCAACTCAAAAAAAAAAAAAAAAAAAGAGATGAGACACTAGTGTCTCATGAGTAGAACCTGGACCAGACACAAATCTCCATTCCCAATGTTTAGTGCCTCATTAGTGCCCAACAACAAGATATTGGGTCTATGTGGGTAGGCCTGGGGCATCCTGTACAACAGGAGATGTGTTAGGGGAGGGAGAACAGATCACAAATTCATGGAGAGCTATTTGCAGAGCAGATACTCCCATCCACTCTGATATGTAGTTAATGTTCAGCTGTTCCTAAAAAGCACACCCAACAATGGGTGTTCTATTCCAGCCTAGGAAAATGTAGAGGCAAGGGGTCTGAGGCCAGAGGACACCACTAGATGGACCACTGCTCCTGACTGTGATGTTGTGGCCCACTCAGGTCCCAGCACCCCATGGTCTGGGGGAAAATTTGCTGGTTCAGCCAGAGGGCTGGATGGACAGTGTTTGCTGAGTCACAGATATCTCTCTCATGTAGCCTTTGTCTCCACAGTGGTGACCAGGAGGCACAGAACCCAAACCTGGTATCTCAGCTCTGTGGCGTCTTTCTTCAAAATGAGACGAATGAAACCATACATATGCAGATGAGCATGGCAGTGGGACAGCAGGCCCTGCCCTTGAATATCATTGCCCCCAAGGCTGTGCTGGTCTCCCTCTGTGGGGTCTTATTGAATGGCACTGTCTTCTGGCTGCTTTGCTGTGGGGCCACGAATCCCTACATGGTATACATCCTCCACCTGGTCGCTGCTGACGTGATCTATCTTTGCTGCTCGGCAGTGGGGTTCTTACAGGTGACTCTGCTAACTTATCATGGAGTCGTGTTTTTTATCCCTGATTTCCTGGCCATATTGTCTCCCTTCTCCTTTGAGGTGTGTCTCTGTCTCCTGGTGGCCATCAGCACAGAGCGGTGTGTGTGTGTCCTCTTCCCCATCTGGTACAGATGCCACCGCCCAAAATACACATCTAATGTTGTCTGCACCCTCATCTGGGGCCTGCCTTTTTGCATCAACATAGTAAAATCACTTTTCCTAACTTACTGGAAACATGTAAAGGCATGTGTCATATTTCTAAAGCTTTCTGGGCTCTTCCATGCTATCCTTTCACTTGTGATGTGTGTGTCGAGTCTGACTCTACTCATTAGATTCCTGTGCTGCTCCCAGCAGCAAAAGGCCACCAGGGTCTATGCGGTGGTGCAGATCTCGGCCCCCATGTTCCTACTCTGGGCCCTACCCCTGAGCGTGGCACCCCTCATAACAGATTTCAAAATGTTTGTCACCACCTCCTATTTAATTTCCTTGTTCCTCATTATAAACAGCAGCGCCAACCCTATCATTTATTTCTTTGTGGGGAGCCTCAGAAAGAAAAGGCTGAAGGAATCTCTCAGAGTGATTCTCCAACGGGCGTTAGCAGATAAGCCAGAGGTGGGGAGGAACAAAAAGGCAGCTGGCATCGACCCAATGGAGCAACCACACTCTACTCAGCATGTGGAGAACCTTCTTCCCAGGGAGCACAGGGTCGATGTGGAAACATAATTTCCCACATCTGAGCTGGGGAATTGTACACATAGTAACCCAGCCTGTTCTGCATCATAAGGCTGCTGCATCAAATCAATGCTTTATTCTAATCAAGTTCAGCTTTCATGGACTTTCAAAACAACCCCTTGCTGTTTGTGGTTGGAAGAGACATTAACTTCCTTCCTAGGCAGTAAGCCCAGTTTGAATGTGCTCCAGTTCCAACGATGAGGGGAATGGGACCCAGTGAGACTTTCCTGGTACCTGTGGAATCCCAAATAAAGACCATACAAAAGGCCATGCATTATTCTCAATCATTATCCTGGAACATCCTCCAAATCCAGCCACAGATTTTCCTCCCTTTGTCTATCTCCTCCTTAGATAGAGCTTGAGCTTGTCGGAATTACCAAGAGGCATCATCACATAAGAGTAAGAGTCAGGGTTTTGGACCCAGATTGCCTTTGTCCAAACTTTGGCTCTCCCATTCAAAGCATGTTATTGTGGGCAAATAACTCTCTGTAACTCTGTTTCATCTTATGCAAGAGGAGGATAAAGTTGGTATTTAATATGCATGGTTGGTGTGAGGATTAATTAACCTTATGAATATACAGGACTCCTTGGATTTTATTTACAACATGTGTAACAATTATTTAGTAAGGATGATGAATATGTTGCAGTGTGTTGAATAAATGTACAAAAACATTACGTTGGATAATATAATCCCTCCTCACTAGGTTAGAATTTACACCCAAACCTTTTACTTTGAAGAAAGCAAATTTACCTCATCCTCTCTCCAACTTAATACCATTTAATTCTTCATCTTGCTTACATTGCTTACAAAACTCTCATATTGGGTTTCTTTTGTTAAATGGAACACATCCTTTTTGCAAATTTTCTTTCCTCTGTGAGGAATTATGTCACTCACAATTTTCCTTGTTTTTGCCTTTTCCATGTTTTATCTCTAGTTAAAAAGGTCAACTTTAAGAGCATTTCTATGATCACATTCTCTGGCTGGTCTTATTGATCTTTTATTTCTTACAACATTATTGTAATTTGTAATGGTTCCACCATTTTGGTCTTATTTTAAGCTTCCCCTAGAAGACGAGAAGTTTTGTGAGGTTGAAGTCATTACTTCATGATTCAGTTTAATGTCCCAGTGCTTTGTACATAATAAGTTGTTTTAATAATACCTCTTTGTAATTTGAATAAAAATTGCATTCCCTTTAAGTACATACCCTTTATTTAAGCCTTATTAATTTTATATCTGTGATTTTAGACAATCCTTCAAGGACTAGAATTGCCATTCTATAATATTGCTTTATATATATATATGCTTTAAATTCTAGTTATTGTATATATTATTTTATTGTGGTCAAATAATATAACCAACAAAATGTTATTATTAATATTATTATTTGTATTTCTTTCAGATTTACTCTGTGGCTGAAGACATGGTCAGTTTTGTCCACCATGGTGTTTAAAATAATGTATAGTCTCCTTTTAAGGTGTAATTTGTCAAATAACTTTTTTTAATGATTTCTATATGTGCTTATTCAATTATGTGTACATGTTACTCAAAACAAAGAAGATTCATTCAAGTCTGATATTAAAATATATGGTTACCTCTTAATTCCCATACTGCATCATTGTGTAGCTCATGTCTCATGATGCTGACATTTCAGGAGCATGTTAAGGAGGTGTCAGAGTGAAGGAAGGGGCATGAGACTTCTCGTGGACAGGTCTTTGTCTCTCCACTTCTGTTAGCTCTCCATCTATAAGCAGATTAGTCCTTTTTCAGTTGTCTGAGCTGCAGATACAATTTCCAACATTTTCATTGGTCACTTACTTCGGTTATGATTTTAAAAACATGTTATTGTCAAGCACACCGTTTTTATAAATTTGAATTTGTCAGTCTTTTATGGCTTATGTATTGAGTTATGATTAAAGAAGTCTTACCTACATGAGATAATATAAAATGAATCTATGCTGTCTTATACTATTAAATTATTTCATTTGTAAACATGTAAATATTTGATCAATTTGATTTTTTTTTACTGGAGGATAGTGTGAAGTATAAGCCCACTTTAATCTTTTTTGTTAAACGGTTAAATTATTCAACTTTGTTAGTCATCAGGAGCACTGCATAATGAGATATGATTTTCTACCCCTGTTATTAATAAGCTTTAATGGCTGGACACACAGAAGAATATGGAGGATTTAATGTCTTCTGCAACCAAAGTGGTGAGTTTAAGTTATTGCTTTTGTTGGGGAAAAATTGAGTACTGTACCTTAAAATTATAAACACACATACACTTATAATCAACGTTTAAAGTTTTATTGCTCCATTTTACAGAGACAAAATAGTGTTACCAAGTGATATCCGTGACAGGGTGTTTATTGCAACAATACTGGTTTTACCTGCTCCCAAGGCAGAAAATCCCACTGTCCCTACTGCAGAGATGCATCTGGGAGGGATTGGGTGACTGGGCACTTTCACACCTGTAGCTGTTATGTACTTCTCCAAGGCAAAGCCATGAAGTAGGACTTAGCAGGAACTGGTGCCCATAGCTAGGAACAGGAATCTTCTCACACGCACACACACACACACAAATTACATTGATAAATATTTTCATGAGATTGTTTCCAGGGAATTTGTAAGACAAAAGTTTTTAATGAAATTACTACTCCCCACCTCTTAAAATAAAAGGAAAAAATAAAACAAATAAAATCAAACTAATAAGTGAAAATAACATGGCCAATAACATCATATGTTCAGACCCAAAGGTCCAAACCTGAACCCTGACCTTTTGCCAAAAGAAATGGGATTGTGAAATATGAACAAACATTAGAAAGGTGTTTCACCTCAAACACCCAGGTGTGGCCACGGAATAAACCAAATAAGGAAAATCTCCCAGAGGGAAGTTCCAGTGTCTATGGACAATTCACTAAATAGATTAGGTGAATCCTTCCAATGAGAAGAACAGAGAACTGTGAGCTTGAGAGTGATGGAACTTACTTTCCTGACAACAAGTGTGATTCTGTCTGTTCTTTTACCCAAGAATGTCTAGCTGGAAAGGACACTCACTGAATGAATGGAATTAAATGCCTGTCACGTGGGTGCCAGAATGGAGCTAGAGGCAGTAACAAGATGATACTAGGTACATACAGTTCTTGACAAAATAATGAATGCATTTCAAATAGATGCAAATATTTTAATTTTAACTTGGACAAGGGAGGGAGGTGTATATAATTTGGGGGTAGGTGAAAAAGGCCTAAGTGTTGGTTATGGTGAGGGCATTCCAATGAGATATCGCAGGACATTCTATGTGGTATGACTCTAAGAAGAGTTTTCACAGATATAAAAAGAGATGGAAGGAAAGGAAGTTCTTTTTTCTCGCATTTTTTATATCATATTCTGAGTATGAAGTCATATCCTAAGCATTCGGAAAACATGCCCAGTGAGGAATGAGGACAATATTCTGAAGATGCCAGAAGTAAAAGTGGATAATTCTAATTTTTTCAAGACATTGTGCCACTGACTTGAACATCTTGCAGCAGCCCTATCTACAGGTGTCTTGTGCTTCAATATTATACATCACTGACTGCTAAAATTAGTTTAATTGAGCTTCTCTATTTGGCAGCCAAAAACATTTCTAACTGGAAATATTTTCTTATCCTTGAATGAAAAGGCAAAGACAGCCTTCTATGGGAATGCTACACAGCAAACTGGAATCCTAGTACTAGATAAGCTTGCCTCATACATTGATGCCCATTGTTGTTAAACCAGGGCCTAGATTTATGTTTATAAAATTATCTGAGTGTGGCTTTTACTGTGATAGAAGCAAATAGTGCTGGTTCTCAAAGGTAGAAAAGCATAAGAGATACACTATATGGGGGAGGCCAATCTTATTAGGGGTGTCCTGTGGACAAGAGTCCCTGGATAGAATCCCAATTGTGTTTCAGATACATGACTATAGGCAGGACTTGAGCCTGATAATCACCAGTATTAGGTATCATGAGAGAGTGGGAACAGAGGATGCTCTTGAAACCAAGAATTTGAGACAGTGAGTCGAGATCATTTCACTCCATGCCAGTCTGGGCAACAAAGTGAGATTCTGTTTCTTAAAAAAAAACATACAAGGGATGTGAAGGACCTCTTCAAGGAGAACAACAAACTGCTTCTCAAGGAAACAAAAGAGGACACAAACAAATGGGAAAACATTCCATGCTTGTGGATAGGAAGAATCAATATCGTGAAAAAAGCCATACTGCCCAAAGTAATTGATAGATTTAATGCTATCCCCATCAAGCTACCATTGACTCTCTTCACAGAATTAGCAAAAACTACTTTAAATTTCATATGGAGCCAAGAAAGAGCCTGTGTAGCCAAGACAATTCTAAGCAAAAGGAACAAAGCTGGAGGCATCACGATACCTGACTTCAAAATATACTACAAGGCTACAGTAACCAAAACAGCATGGTACTGGTACCAAAACAGATATATAGACCAATGAAACAGAACAGAGACCTCAGAAATAGCACCACACATCTACAAGCATCTGATCTTTGAAAAACCTGACAGAAAAAAGCAATGGGGAAAGGATTCCCTATTTAATAAATAGTGTTGGCGAAAATGGTTAGCCATATGCAGAAAACAGAAACTGGACCCCTTTTATACAGCTTATACAAAAATTAACTCAAGATGGATTAAAGATTTAAACATAAGACCTAAAACCATAAAAACCCTAGAACTAGGCAATATCATTCAGAACATAGGCATGGGCAAAGATTTCATCACTAAAACACAAAAAGCAATGGAAACAAAAGCCAAAATTGACAAATTAAACTAATTAAAATTGACAAATTTTAGTTCAGTTGACAAATTACACTAATTAAAATTGACAAAATTTGACAAAATTGACAAATTAATTAAATTAAACTAAAGAGCTTCTGCACAGCAAAAGAAACTATCATCAGAGTGAACAGGCAACCTACAGAATGGGAGAAAATTTTTGCAATTTATCCATCTAACAATGGGCTAATATCCAGAATCTACAAAGAACTTAAACAAATTTACAAGAAAAAAACAAACAACCCCATCAAAAAGTGGGTGAAGGATATGAACAGACACTTCTTAAAAGAAGACATTTATGTGGCAAACAAACATATGAAAAGGGCTTATCATCACTGGTCATTAGAGAAATGCAAATCAAAACCACAATGAGATACCATCTCATGCCAGTTAAAATGGTAGTCATTAAAAAGTCAGGAAACAACAGATGCTGAAGAGGATGTGGAGAAACAGGAAGGCTTTTACACTGTTGGTGGGAGTGTAAATTAGTTCAACCATTGTGGAAGACTGTGGTGATTCCTTAAGGATCTAGAACTAGAAATACCATTTGACCCAGTGATCCCATTACTGGGTATATACCCGAAGGATTATAAATCATGCTACTATGAAGACACATGCACACGTATGTTTATTGCGGCACTATTCACAATAGCAAAGACTTGGAACCAACCCAAATGTCCATCAATGATAGACTGGATTAAGAAAATGTGGCACATATACACCATGAAATACTATGCAGCCATAAAAAGGACGAGTTCATGTCCTTTGCAGGGACATGGATGAAGCTGGAAACCATCATTCTCAGCAAACTATCGCAAGGACAGAAAACCAAACACGGCATGTTCTCACTCATAGGTGGGAATTGAAAAATGAGAACACATGGACACAGGGCAGGGAATATCACACACTGGGGCCTGTTGGGGGTGGGGGTCTAGGGGAGGGATAGCATTAGGAGAAATACCTAATGTAGACGATGGGTTGATGGGTGCAGCAAACCACCATGGTACATGTATACCTATGTAACAAACCTGCAAGTTCTGCACATGTATCCCAGAACTTAAAGTATAATTTAAAAAATAATAATAATGAAAAAATAATTTGGGTACATATAATAAAAAAATTCAAGATCCACAATCTCTTGAATATAAAAACTACATGAAATATAGAGGAGATAGGACCAAAGGTAACAGCTGCTCTAGACCCTTAATGGCTCCCTTGTAGGGAGGATCAGTACTGTCCCATAAAGTCACATTCCCTATGTGACCTTGAGGTCTTCTCAGATTCTATCTCTGCAGTGAGGTAAACAGCCAGTCAGCACCGAAGGACAAGGAGGGGTGTATTTTAACATCTTGTCACCCTTTGATCATAGTGTATTTCATTCTTATATATCTCTCCTTCCTGGTCACTGTAGAACCATACAGAAACCATCTGCCCCACTATGTGAATCACATTTAACCACAAGGTTTTAAGAGGGAATATAATAAAAGATTATTTCCTGCAGGGATAAGAAGCAACTTCAAGCTAGAAATGCATGAATTGCTAGAGAAACCAACGAAAGGAGCCTTGCATCCATCTCATTTTTCTCAAGTTGAGCCACATGTGAACAAAAGTCTATATGAAATGATCAGCTGGCTCCTTCACAAACAGCTGTAGGTGAACGGAGGGGAATAGCATGAGGATACATGGAGTGTGAGCTTGATCTGGCTTTCAGTAAGAATTTGCCAATATGTTGTGTCAGAACCTGCTTGGTAAGTGGCACAGCACAAAAACATTCCCAAGACTTCTTTACATTATGTTTATGGATCATTCATGACTAATTTTCCAACAAAAACAAACATGCACTAGAGAAAATCAAGAAAGAGCAAATTGATCTTTGAGAAGACAGCAAAGTAAAGTTCTTACATTAATTTTACTTTACAAAACATGCAATTCAATTCATGACAAAATCCAAGGAGCACGTTTGAGCTACTGGAATTCCTGAGTTCATTGGGAAAATGCTGACCTGACTTTCCTCTTCTGCCTTCTAGGATGGGTTGGGCTGGGCTGGACCTCAGTCTGGGAGATGCATTAAAGTGGAGAGACTGACTTCTCTTAAAGATTCTTCTTTGTTTCAGGGGACAGTTCTTAAGGACAGAGTAATAGAGTCAGACAGGATTGGGGGATATCGTGAGATGTTGAGATAAAGATGCTTCAGTTAAAGGCCTGGGCTCTGATATGCAAGTGGCCCTGGTACAGGAAGACCTAAGGGACACAGGGAACTTGATAACTGCTTGTCAAGACCCAGTTCAAAGCAGATATGCTTAGAGAGCTTCCTGACATGAGGGCAGAACTTTGATCTCTCAGGAGGTTGGCCTCTGTGATACCAAGTCCGTCCAAGTCCTCCCAGGTATGAGAAAAAAGGTCTCTACCTTTTTTTTCATTTTCAAAGCATTTTAACTCAAAGACTCATTTTTTAAAAAAATTTAAAACCTTGTGATTTTTTTTTTACTGAGGAAGGTGCATTTGAAGATTGACAGGATAGAAACCAGTTTCCTGGAAAAAGGAGGGCCTGCGGTTCCCAAGGTAGCCCCAGTGGGTGAGCTACTTCTGTGTTCTGGTCCCTGGTTCACAGGTGCCCTGGCTGTGTAGATGGGCAGAGGGTGTGTTTTTCTGTTAGAAGTAGGATTTGAGCCACTGTGTTACTGAGGTGTGGTCTATGACTTCTGGGTGTAACCTTTCAGATTTTCCAATTTCCCAGCTTCTATATTCGTATTTAATTCTCATCTAACACAGAAAATGAAGTTCTGGCACATGCTGCACCATGAACAAGCCATGAAAACATGAGGCTGAGTGAAAGAAACAGAAACAAAATGTCACGGAAGGTTTGATTCCACTAATAGGACGTGTCCAGAATGGGTGAATGCGCAGAGACAGAAAGCAGATGGTGGTTGCCAAGAGCTGGGAGGGAGAAAGGGATGTAACTGCTAAGGGCATCCTTATGGGGCATGAAAATGTTTTGGAACTAGATAGAGTTGGGGGTTGCGCAATATTGTGAAGAGGCAAAGTGAGGCAGAACTGTGCACTCTAAATTGGTTAATTTATGTTATGTGAATTTCACCTCAGATAAAAATTAAGTGGGGAGGGTGGGCTCTCGCCTCAGAATCAGAGCAAATACTTCAATCCCAATGCAAAGGCTACTTGGCTATTTTGGCTGCACCAAACTGAGCACTTCCAACAGCGCTGGCTCCCTGAATCCCAGGATCCAGCCTGTTGTATCTACTCCTTGGGGAGCCTGGCTCATGACCCAACTTGGAAATGACATTCCCAAGACCACAAATGACATTTCCAAGTACCAGGATGTCTCTATGCCCAGTGCTGGGGCCACACCAGATGCCGAGGCCTCTCCACCCCAGGAGGGCTGCCTCCTCCTCCTAGGTGACAATGAAGAATGTACTGCTCAGTCACTGGGCTCAGTGGTCGTCTCTGGGCATGAGCTGGGTTTCAATGAGCTCAGGAATGGGAAGCATGACTCTGCCCCTGAGGCCACATGCCACCTCCATAGCGGATCTTTTCTTCTGGCTGGAGGGGAAGTCACTTCTTCCCATGAAACTATTTTATCTATAAATCTCCTCTCCTTGTTGGAGACCAAAGCCCAGCTGCTCCTGCTTGGTGCCCTGGTGGCCTGGGGTGGGCCATGGAGTCCTGTTTGCAGTTTCTCTTCTGTCACCATCACGAGTTCTGACACCCTGGCCTGGGCACAGAACCGCACATCAGCCTGATGTTTCCATGGACACCAATGTTACTAAGCCCCAAGCCTCGTCTTATGACCAGATTAGATATAAGCTGGATCTGCTTTCCTCTCCTGGCCTCAGATAAGAAAGTCTAGGCAACAGGCACAGGGAGGGGCGAGACTGGGGCCAGACCCTTCCATTTCAACAGAGCTGCTGACTGAAGGGGAACTCCATCATCCTGGCAAGGAGGGAAGATTCAAACACTGGGCTCACTTGGAGCTGGTCCCTAGCACTCTCCTGAAACCCCACTGATGCACCAATATGTGACTGCAGATCACAGGGTCACGTGTGAGATATTTCCTGGCATATCTTAGGCTTTCATCAATTTGTGGAACAATCTTTGTTTTAGAAGCCTCTGTGATCCATAAACAAAGCTTCAGTAGCTCAGGGTTGTAGGACCAGGTTCGTCTCACCATTCTGAGACTTCCCATGATTCCATGTATAAAGTTCTCTTCACTACTGTGATCATCAGCTTGGACTCCCATGACTAAGACCACAGACTGAGTGACTTAAATGATAGAAGTCTATTCTGTCACAGTCCTGGGGGTTGGAATTCTGAGATTAAGGGGTCGGCACTGTCGGTTCTTTCTGAGACCTCTCTCCTTGGCTTGTAGATGGCTGTCTTTTCCCTGCATGCTTACATGGTTGTCCCTGTGTGTTTAACTAATCCTAATCTCCTCATCTCATGAGGACACCAGTCCTATTGGATTAGGGCCCAACCTAAAGACCCATTTTAACATAATTACCTCTTCAAAGATTCTGTCTGCAGACACAGTCACATTCTGAAGTATTAGGGGTTAGGACCTTAACATATGAATTTAGAAGGTCACAATTCAGCTAATAACAGCAACCCTTAGATAGCTGGGAATACTGAGGCAGAAAAGGATCCACTGCTTATCAAAGATAGCTGTGATTTGCCCACATAAGATCAGCTTTCATACCCTTGGCCTGAACTCCCAGGTTACTAGGTTTGACTCAGCTGTGGGTTCCCAGAAGAGGTATTGATCCTCTCCCGTTTCATTTTTAGTTAGGTGACCAACCAGCTTGGTTTTCCCAGGGCTATCGGGATATTCAGGACAAGGAATTTTCAGGAATACAAACTAGGAAATTCTAAGGCAAAGTGGTACCTTTGCCCTCCCTGCACAATTCTTCACACAAAGACCTGTGATTGGCAGCCTGAAGCGGAGTGCCTGCTCCTGAAGTGGACAGAGCCCATGGCTCAAGTGCATGTCTCCCTCGGGACCCCATGAAGCAGCTTCTGGTGTGCAGGGTCCCCTGCTCTCACCTACATGTAACAGAGCAACTTAAGTCCTCTGCAGGCACCCTCCCCAAGTAGCTCCTCAGTGTCAAACCCTGTTCCAGGGGCTGGAGAAAAGGCAGTGAACAGAATTTTAAAGACAAAGTAAATTCTCATGGAACTTCCATTCCAGGGCATGATTCCCACAAAAGCAAGTAAGTGAATATCATAGACTGCCAGCAGGTCAAGAGTGCAATGTTTAAAGGCTGATCAGCAGAAGATCACCTGGAAGGTGACCCTGAGGCAGAGACTGGAAGGAGGAGACCGAGCTCACTGAGGCACAGAGGCTCTTCCAAGCAGGAGAACAGCATGTGCAAAGGTCCAGGGAGGAGGCCTGAGAGCTAACAGAGAAGAGGTGAGCAGGAGCAAGGTTGGGAGCCCTTCCCTTGAGTACTGACCAGCAACCTCCCCATCCAGGACTCAAGGAGTCTCAGAACCTCAAGGTAAAGTAGTCACTCAGTGCCCCCACCAAAACGATGTCACAAAAACAGCCTGTACCAGTGGGAAAGTTGGAGAACCATCCCTATGGGCTAATGTAAACAAATGTATTTTTTTATGCAGCCTTATAGATAATCTGGGTGCACGGGATACACACTGGGCCTTGGGCACAGCATGAAGCATCAGGGATAACTGAATGCGGTGGAGAGAGGGGTAAGGGTATGCATGAGAGGGCATCCTGCAATGGAGAATCTGGGAGGGAAGGGATGGGTCTCCCACAAGAAGCTTGCTCCTTTCCTCCACTCTGCTCTGCAGAATCCCTGCCAATCTCATGAGGCTCAGCAGGAACCTCTGAGGACAGAGGGCAACCCTGACTCTCCTCTCCAGACCTGGTATGTTACCAGCCTTTGTTTTTGCAGGATGTGCGCAGGCAGCAAAGGTAGCCCACCATAGCCTAGCTTCTCGCAACCCTCTCTGGAAAGCTGGATTGGGACAATGAGACTGAGACCTCAGGACATGTGAACATGAGCCATACGGGAGGTGAGTGGTTGGTGGACAGGCAGGTGGTCTTCTCCCTGACAGTGCTGGTGGCCCTCTGTGGACTGGTAGGCAATGATGTGATCTGCTGGCTTCTCTACTCACAGGTCTGGAGCAGCCCCTATGTGACCTACATCCTTAACCTGGCCACTGTTGATATGGTCAACCTCTCCTGTGTAACTGTGATCCTGCTGGAGAAAATCCTCATGCTGTATCACCAGGCGGCATTGCAGGTGGCTGTGTTTCTGGATCCTGTCTCCTATTTCTCCGACACAGTGGGTCTCTGTCTCCTGGTGGCCATGAGTATTGAGAGCTTTCTCTGTGCCCTCTGTCCCACCTGGTGCTGCCACCGCCCAGAGCACACCTCTGCCATGGTGAGGTGGGCCCTGGCCCTTTCTTTGTATGCAGTTAGCCAGGTCTGTGAGTACTGGGAGAAGTGCTTGGCATGTGACCAATTTCATGAGGCTTTATGACATGTCATGTACTTATTTGCTTTGTAATGGGCATGTCCAAGCTGATCCTGATCATCTGGGGTCTGTGCTGTCCCCAGTGGTGTTCCCCCATCAGGACCTATCATGTTGTCTGCTTTGTGATCATCAGCTTCTTCCTTTGGGTCCTGCCCTTAGTTGTCCTTGTGTGCCTGCCAGGAAAGTTTCTGACCCTTGCCTTTGACCTCCTGTTGCTACTGTCCATTGTGGTCAGCATGCCTCACCTAGTCATCTACTTCTTGGCTGAGTAACTCTACAGGAAGAGGCACAGGGAGTCCCTAAAGGCTGTTTTTCAGAGGGCTTTGTTGAGTGAGATGGAGGCATGGATAAAATGAGGCGTTTCAGGCCCCTGATCCCAGGGCAGATTTCAGCCTCACAGCTGGAAACAAACTGCTCTTCTAGGGGGCTCAGCTCCTCCACAAAGGCAGGGACTGCCTATGCACAAGGCTGTAAAAGGGATCATGTCTGGAAAACATGCTGGATCCTCCAAGGAGCAGGGTGAATGTTCTTGAGATTATTTATTACCTTTGTGTATTTTCAGAGTAACCAGATTTCTGACTGAATTCAAGACAAAATTACTTTGCTTCTGTTGATAGCCCATTATTCTCAATTCCCATGGAAACCCTCTGGAAAGGCAGGTCAGGAGCAAAGCAGACCTTCCTGGCTTCTTCTTTTTTTTTTTTTTTCCAGCTAATTATTTTATTTTATTTTATTTTATTTTTCTTTTTTTATTATACTTTAAGTTTTAGGGTACATGTGCACAACGTGCATGTTTGTTACATATGTATACATGTGCCATGTTGGTGTGCTGCACCCATTAACTCATCATTTAACATTAGGTATATCTCCTAGTGCTATCCCTCCCCCTTCACCCCACCCCACAACAGGCCCCAGAGTGTGATGTTCCCCTTCCTGTGTCCATGTGTTCTCATTGTTCAATTCCCACCTATGAGTGAGAACATGCGGTGTTTGGTTTTTTTGTCCTTGCACTAGTTTGCTGAGAATGATGGTTTCCAGCTTCATCCATGTCCCTACAAAGGACATGAACTCATCATTTTTTATGGCTGCATAGTATTCCATGGCGTATATGTGCCACATTTTCTTAATCCAGTCTATCATTGTTGGACATTTGGGTTGGTTTCAAGTCTTTGCTATTGTGAATAGTGTCATAATAAACATACGTGTGCATGTGTCTTTATAGCAGCATGATTTACAATCCTTTCGGTATATACCCAGTAATGGGATGGCTGGGTCAAATGGTATTTCTAGTTCTAGATCCCTGAGGAATCGCCACACTGACTTCTACAATGGTTGAACTAGTTTATAGTCACTGGCCATCAGAGAAATGCAAATCAAAACCACGATGAGATACCATCTCACACCAGTTAGAATGGTGATCATTAAAAAGTCAGGAAACAACAGGTGCTGGAGAGGATGTGGAGAAATAGGAACATCTTTACACTGTTGGTGGGACTGTAAACTAGTTCAACCTTCCTGGCTTCTGCAAGCTCCATATTTCTGAGAGTGACAAGTGTCATTCATCCTTATTCAGTCACCTTGCTCGGAGTTCTGTCCTCTGTCACCCCAGTCCATCCTTCCTGGGGACCCCTGGGCAGAGACTGATTCATGATCCTGATGTTCCTCCACCATTATGGCCTCAAGTTTCCATCCATCCCTTCCTACAAAAGCCAGGAAAGCGATTCAGTAAGAGTGCCATAACAAGTTGTTTCTGGCGTTGCTCACTGTGGAGAGATCTAACGCTGGCAGTCTGGCCTACAGCCTGGTTTCTCCAAGCTGTTTCACTCTGCTCATTCCAGGTTCCACGCACAGGCTACTCTCTGTGTTTTTCCCAGACTCATCACACAATCTAGCGCCTGTGCTTCTTCACAGGAATCCCACCCTGCAGAATGTCATGCATTCTTCCCCACCCTGACCAGGGTGTTGCCCGGCACCCACCATGGTCAGAACCTTAATGAGAGCCCCTGACCAGCCCCAGCTCCATCCCGTCAATGCTCTATAGCCATCACAGCAGCACATCACCCTGCTTCATTTGTTCAATTGCACCCCAGCCAGCGTAACTCTTAGATTTCAGGATGGTGTCCACCCCCTGAGTTGTCCTCAGGTGCACCATTTGACCTTGTCCCATGACATCCTCACACAGGATTCACTCTCTCCCTTGTTTGCACCAGACTCGCGCCCAACCTTGCAAGGTCCCTTTCTCCCTTCCCTGCTTAGAGCACTCCCTCAACACTATCTGTACATTTTACTCTTTTTCACCCTTCACTCCTTAAAGATGTTTGTCCAGACCACCCCATTTAAATCTCCACCCCTTTTTGACTCTTCTCTAAAAGGTTTGTTTCTTTTAATGTGAAGATAATTGTCTATAATTATTTTCTATGTATTCTGTGTTGTGTGTTGTTATCAGTTTATTGTACTCCTGCCTCATTTGCACTTGAAGCCCCAGTAGGGCAGAGGCCACACCTTCCTCCTACCCTAGCAAATTCCCAGCAAGTAGCAAAATGCCCTGCAAGTCTGACATTAACCCCCCATCATCTGATGTTATCCATCGCTCACTAGTCCACCTTTCCACCTTGCATGTTTCCACATGTTTTCATTGTCTCTGCCTTCTTGAGGCTTCCCAACCATATTCTAACTAGAATTCGACGAACACGTCTTTGGAGATTGTTCCCAGTGTTCTTGTAATTGATTTGTCAGTTTTTTACTCACTTGGAAAATGTCACTTGTATAATACTATGACTGTTATGTGAAATTCACACTGTTTTCTCTGTTGCCGAAAACTTGCTCAGGTTTGTAAATGTGCCAGTGATACTGGTAAGCAATGTACATTCTCTTATTTTAGATATTCAATGTGATACATTCTAAAGCAATTCTGAGATGTTTAGATTACAGCAATTCTTTAAATGCTGTTACTTGGATCATATTGATTTCTGCCTAGTGTAAATGACAAAATTGATAGGGACATGTTCATATCTCCTATTAGTTTGTTTCACATCACACTAGAATTTGAAACAGAGTTTGATTTACATAATTTGATGTTGTCCTTTGATAAGTGAATGGCAGAAACCCTGGCCCTAGAGCACAGAAGGGCTGATCCGGGCTGCCTGTCTTTAGTCAGCGTGTTTTGTTCTAACAAAATGCCATAGATTAGGCTACAAACAGCAGATATTTATTTTCTCAGAGTCCTGGAGCTTGGAAGTTCAAGATCAATGTATCAGCAGGGTGGGCTTCCCCTGAGGCCTCCCTCTTTGACTTGAGATGGCCGCCTTCTCCCTGTGTCATGACATGGCCTTTTTCTGTGTACCCACATCCCTGGGGACACTTTCTATTCTTATGAGGATTTTAATTCTTTAGGATTAGGACCTCAGTCTTATGAGCTCCTTAACCTTAATTATCTCTTTAAAGGCCCTATCTCAAAATATTGTCACATTCAGGGTTAGGACTTTAGCCCGTGAAGTTTGGATGCCTGGAAGTAAGAGGCAGGTTGATCTCACAGAGTTGGGCTGCTGCTATGTTCAGGCAGGGGATACAATTTGGGCATTTTATGTGCCTTTACCCTGGGCCAACAGTTCCCTTGGAGGTGAGCATCTGGCTTATGGTTCTTTAGTTTTTTGTGGAAACGTCTCTATTATCCTTGCAGCTGATGAGCTCCTGGCAACACAGACAGTCCTCAGTTTCCTGAATTCTCTCACTCACTCAGAAAAACAAAAATGTCAAGGCTAGGTATGGACTATTACAGTTTAGTAAGTAATCCCCTTCCTTCCCTCTGGAATTGAGAACTACTGATGAAAGTGAATGAAGGAATGAGGACAGTGTCAGATGGAGAACAATGCATTACTTCTATTGCTCCTAAAATTGAACTGGAGAAAGGGGCTTGGATGTCTAAAAAACTGACTTTCAAAAGTGCCCCTTAAATGGTACCTACTCCAGAGGATCCCATCCCTCCTCCCTCTTCCTGCCCATCTCTCTTTGGAGGAAAGCAGTCCTTCTGGGGAACTCACCACCCACTGGTGAAGGGAGCACTCACTCCAGGTTATTCTTCCAAACTCACTCATCAGTTTCTTTCCTTCTCCCCGGGAGGGAAAAAGTGCGGGGAAAGAGAGAGAGCCCAGAGCTTAAAATAGACCTGAGATTCTCAGTCTTAAATAGTATTGAGCAGCTCAAAGAACTTTTGTGGATCAGGGTTGTATCTTTCAATATTTACAGTATTAGTAATTATAACTCAGAACTTTACAAATGTTTACTTATTAACTCCTTTAGAACATAAATTGTATGCCTATTCCATGTAAACATGAATAAATTTTAGAAAAAATAACTATGTTTTCTTTAAAAAGTTATGTTATTGAGAAGAGCAAGATGGTTTTGTATTTTGCAGACCTCTTAGAGGCCCAGCAGCAAGCTGGACATTCACAGCTGCTTCTGCATTGGTGTAGTTTTCCAGTTGGCGGCTTCATCTCACCTCATACAGTCTCTGGAAAACTCCACTTTCACTCAGGAGTGCATGAGTGTGAGAAACACAGACTCACTTCAATACTTCAAGTATTACCTGAAGATTATGTCGGCCTCCCTTCCCCTAAAAAGGTGTTGGGGACCACATCTCAAGAATTACTCCTCTGGGGTGATCCCCACCTGGAAATAAGGGCTGAGGGAGTGGAGGCACCCACCCTCTCACACCAGTTCCCTTGTTTGGAATTTTTAAAGAGAGAGGCATCCCAGCATTCACCCCGCAGTAGGGCAGAACTGTGTGGCACATCCTGAGAAGGGATCAGCGGGTGACCAGGACTGAGCCTCTGCCACCTGGAAGAAACTGTACCCCAGGACTGACCAGAGTGTCTTGTGGAGTTTCGGCCTCACCAGGAGGCACTTGAATCATGGTAACCATAAGACGCTGCACGGGACAGGAAGATGAATAGTAGCAATAGCAACTAGAGCAAATATGTTCACTGATGATTTACTGTATCTCAATATTGCTCTAATCACTGTGAAAACATGAAGCCAGTTTTCACACTCTATTAATAGGTAACATTATTATCCTGCTTCAGCCTAAGCCAAAAGGCTGCTTGGCCCACTTAGCTGATTGTTATCCAATGGTCCCAGCACATTTATAACAAATATAGTCCTTCACTATTGTTCTGATTTTTGGTTATCAATCATGTTTAGACTTATGTGGGTCTGTCTCTGGGCCTTCTGCTCTGTTCTGTTGGCCTATTTATCCACCCTTGGACAACACCACACTTGATGTAGTTACTGCATCTTTCCCGTGCATATCTATGCCCAGGAAACTGAGTCCTCCTACAAACAGCCAGAGAAGAACAAGACATATATGTACAGAAAATCAAAGATAAGAATGAAGCAGATTTCTTGTTGGAAAGTTGCAAGTTGTATGACAGTGGAGAAAATTCTTTAAAATATTAAAAGAAATAAATTTGTCAGCCTAAAATTTTTTACACAGTCAAAATATTTCCCAAAGAGATGGCAAAATAAAGAGGTTTTTGGAGACACAAAAAAGATGAAACAAATCATCACCAGGAGATATGCAGACTGAGAAGTGGTAAAAGACATACATCCAGCAAGAGAATAATGACTCCACATGGAAATCTGTGTCTATTTAAGGAAGGAGTCCTTTGCCCTGATGGTATCTTCTTAAGACGCTGAAATAAGTGGTGAGAGCCAACATTCTTGGCTTGTTCCTCATCTGGGGTGAAAGCATCCAGTCTTTCATTATTAAGGGTAATACCCACTAAATATCAACCATAGGATTTTTTTTTTGGTAGCTGCCTTTTATCATTTTGAGAAACTTCATTTCTATTCCTAGTTGACTGAAATTTTTTATGAGCCTATTGGATTTTGTCTAATGCTTTTTCTGAATCTGCTGAAATAATGTTTTTGCCTTTTAATCTGTTAATGTGGTGAATTATATTGGCTCATTTTTCATGTTAAACCTGCCTAGTATCCCTGGGATAAATTTCACTTGGTCTTGATGTGCATATATTTATATTTCTGGTGCACATGTATGTATGTTCATGAGAAAGTGATTCTGTGTGTGGCGATGCAGTAGACCTAGAATAGTTAAAAAAAAAAAAAAAAACTTTGAAAAAAGAAGAAGCAAGTGAGACAGTTTATAATACCCGACTTCAAGGCTTATTATAAAGGTTCAGAAATCCAGATGGTGTGATATTGGTAACAGGATGGACAAATAGGTCAACAGAACAGAAGAGGGTCCAGAATAGACCCTAACATATATCTTCAATTGATTTTGAAGAAGGTGTAAAGTAAATTCAGTGGAGAAAGGACAATCTTAGCAACAAACGGTCCTTAGAATTATTGGATATACATATGCACATATGAACAGAACTTCAATCCATACGTGGCATCATACATAAAAATTAATTCAGAATTTATCATAAACCATAATGTAAGACCTAAAGCTGTAAGCTGTATGTAAGAAAAGAAAAGAGAATATCAGTGTAACTTATGGTTAGGAAAATATTTCTTGGATGAATACAAAAAGTATGATGCATAAAAGAAAAAATTGATCAATTGGATTTCATCAAAATATAAGATGTGTGCACTTTGAAAGACCCTGTGGGGAGAATGAAAAGGCAAGTTCCAGGCTGGAGGAAGTGGTTTCAATCTCACATCTGATGAAGGACTCATATGTAGGATCTATAAAGAGCTCAGATGAATGGGCCCCTGGCAGCCCTTGGGAATCACAGGGGTGCTGTGCCATGGACAGACATGGAAGACACCTCCCACCCTGTCATTCATGTCTTCTGAGCTGCAGTACTCAATGTCCCCTACAAATGCCCCCTCCTGGGCCCACAGACCCTCCTCTCCCCACATCCACACCCTCAGGCCAGGCCCTGGGGCTCTTGTTGGGACAGGGCCCCTCCTGCAGGATACAGGGAGGGAGGAACTGTCAGTCTCAGGCTCTGGGTGCCCAGCTTCAAGCTTACCCACCTCAAGGCCCTCTGGGCCCATCTCACAGGATATAATGAGGTAGTCTGGCACCTACTGGACATGCTATCTAGATCTAATCCTGAGCTGTGGAGCCAGAGGAAAGGAGGGATGTTTGTTGGACCAGTTACCCTGTTCTGCCAGGTCTCACAGGGCCCTTCCCTTAGAGGCCAGCTCTAGACACACAGCACAGAGGCCAAGAGGTAGCCAGCCCAGAACCTGCAGGCTGGGCTGGGGACCACACGAGGACTGTCTGGGGACAGCCAGAAGACCCCTCACTAGTTTTCTCACTACCTCATTTCTTATCAGCTACCTTACCTCCATCAAAACCCCCCTTCACGCAAAATCAGTAAGAGGAGGAAGATGGTAAAAGAATCAACGGGAAGAAAACAAAAAAAGGACAACCATTAACAGTCCAGAACCCTGGGTGGGAAGAGTGGAACTGGGAACAGACCCTTTCATTTCAACAGAGCCTTGACTGAAGGGGACTCCATCATCCCAGCAAGGAGGGAAGATTGAAACACTAGGTTCACTTGGAGCTGATCCCTAAACTTCTCCTGAAACCCCACTGATATACTGACATGTGACTGCAGATGCCAGGGTTGCCTGTGGCATATTTCTAGAAAAATCACAGGCATTTATCAGTTTGTGGGACAAGTTTATTTCCAGAAGCTTCTGTGACCCAGAAGCAAAGCGTTAGCAGCTCAGAGTTGTAGAATCAGCATCTCAGATTATAGGATTATAGGATCTACCAGGTCGTAGATCTCACTATTGCAAGACTTCCCATGATTCAATTTGTAAAGTTCTCATCACAACTGTGATCATCAGCTTGGACTCCCGTGACTGAGACCACAAACCGAGTAGCTTAAACTACAGAAGTTTATTCTCTCTCGGTTCTAGGAGGCAGGAAGTCTGAGATCAAGGAGTGGGCAGGATAGGTTTCTTCTGAGGACTCTTTCCCTGGCTCCTAGATGGATATCTTCTCCCTGTGTCCTCACATCGTTGTCCCTTGTGGTGTTTGTATCCTAATCTCGTCTTCTTATAAGGACACTAGTCCTACTGGATTAGGGCCCATTCTAATAATCCATTGAATTTCACCTCAAGTAAAGATTAAATTAAGGGCTAGTGTGAGCTCTCATCTCAGAATCAGAGCCATTACTTCAGTCCCAAAGCAAAGGTTACCTGGCTGTTTTGGATGCACTGAGGCAGACACCTCCTTCAGAGCCTGGTCCCAGAGACAGTTTCTACTAACTGCTTGTTTTTCTGTGTATGGGCCTTACTTTATTGTTTCTTTGCATGTTGTATTATTTCGTTCTTTCTTTTTTAACTTAGCATTTTAAACAGTATAATGTGGCAACTCTGGAAGTCATATTTTTTCTGTTCCCAGATTTTACTATTGCTAGTGGATGTTTTTTGATCAGGTTTTTAAAAACTATCTGTCAAGTCTGTTCTTTTTTGTTTTTTTGTTTTGTTTTGTTTTTGTTGTTGTTGTTGTTCAACGTGGCCACTGAAGTCTCTGCTTGGTTAGCTTAGTGGCCAGGTAAAGACTGGACAAAGATTTCCTTAGGTTCCTGGAAGTAATGTCTCCCAGTGTATGTAGAGAGGCTCTGTGTGCAGGTAGATACAGGTCTTCAAAGCCCAACCAAGCAGTTTACACTGTGTCCTAGCCTTCATTTCCTGTCTGTGCAGTGCCTCAAACTTATTCAGGGTTAGAGCTTAGAGCCTGCTCAGGTCTGTTCAAAGCATATATGCAGCACTTGTCATGCCCACATCTATGCATGCATGTGGCCGTCGGAACTTTCTGGAGTATATTAAGGCTTTTCAATCCCCTTTATGGGCATCTCATTCCCTGACATTTCGTTTTTAAGTTCTTGGTTAGGCTATTGTTTGTTCCAACTGTTATTTATGACCATCGGCAACCATGATGTTCAACAACTGCCTATGATTCTTTTTACTCATTTCCCCAGGAAATACATTGTTCTCTCTGGGATAGCTCTGAGTCAAGTCAAATAAGGATAGCATTGTGAGTTCTAGGGAACAACCAGACAGGTAAAATAATAACAGTCCTCTGGAAATAAGGGATTAAAGGATCTGTAACCCTATTGTGTCCCCTCCAGTGATTTCATGTCTGCTGGTTTTCACCATGATTGTGGACCGTTGGTTTTTAAGAGCTGAGGAGGAAGGAACAGGAGTGGAACCAGTTAAAACATCACAGAGCTCACTGTTCTTATCAAGATTCAGCTATTATTCTTGAACAAACACTCTCCAGATTGCAGCAAGCCTTTGGTTAATTTCTAGAGTTCTAAACAATATTAATTCTGACAATTCTTCCATAGTTCATTTTACTCTTAGGAAGTAGGTCATTTTTGGAAGTCATTACTCTGTTATTTTTGTTGATGTCACTGTGTTACTGGAAAGGGGCCCCAATCCAGACCCCAAGAGAGGATTCTTGGATCTCATGTAAGAAAGAATTTGGGGCGAGTCCATAAAATGAAAGCAAGTTTATTAGGAAAGTAAAGGAATAAAGTATGACTACTCCATAGACAGAGCAGTGGCATGGGCTGCTCAACTGAGTATACTTACAGTTATTTCTTGATTATATACTAAACACGGAGTGGATTATTCATAAGTTTTCTGGGAAGACGGTGGGCAATTCTCAGAACTGAAAGTTCGTCCCCTCTTTAGATTACATAGGGTTACTTCTGGACATTACCATGGCATTTGTAAACTGTCACGGCATTGATGGGAGTGTCATTCAGCATGCTAATGCATTATAATTAGAGTATAATGAACAGTGAGGAGGACCAGAGGTCACTTTCATTGCCATCTTGGTTTTGGCCGGCTTCCTTACAGCATCCTGTTTTATCAGCAGGATCTTTGTGACCTATATCTTATGCCAACCTCCTATCTCATCCTCTGACTGAGAATGCCTAACCTTTTGGGAATGCAGCCCAGCAGGTTTCAGCCTTACTTTACCCAGCCACTACTCAAGATGGAGTCACTCTGGTTCAAACGCCTATAACAACAGTATGGTTTTTTGTTTTATTGGAATTGTTGCTTTAGGGATTATGATATAAATATTTACCCTTTCATGGTCTACTTAGAATGAATAGATCCATTTATTATTATTAGTTTATTCAGTAATTGTCATATGTATTACATTTGTATGAATCCCCATCAGTGTTGTACTTTTTAGTTCCAACAGAGATACATATTTTAAATAATTCAAAAAGAGAATAATATACGATTGCATTTACCCAGATAATTACTCTTTCTGTTGTTCCTTTTTCATTCATGATATTCTGATTTTCCCTCTGGTTTTATTTCCTCTCTGCCTGAAGCAGTGCAATCCATGCTTAAAAGCATTTCTTTTAAATCAGATGAGTTGGTGATACCTACTTTCACTGAGAATATCTTTACTTCATCTTCGTTTCTGAAGAATATTTTAACTTTATATAGAATTGCCTAAATGAGTGTCAATTGTGAGGAATGGGAATTAATGACATTGGCTGCTAAAATGGAGTGAAGAAGGTAGGTGAACAGCTCTGGTCTAAGACCAAGGTTCCCATGCAGGACTTGGTTTTTCTGCTGGGCTTTAAGACCCCAAAGCCCAAGAAAATGCTATCGTCTTATGAAATTTCCAAGAAGAAGACCATCCACCTCACCTTAAAGGTGGTGAAGCCCAAGATGCGGAGCTGCCCATGTTTCTGGTGGAAACATGTGATGAGGAGCAGAGAAATCTCCTCCTGGCATGACTTAATTTAAAAAAATATGGTAGATTATGGCATCAGAAAGGACAAATTACATTTCTTGACATACCACTCCACTGGAGGTGACCCAGGGGTAGAGAGATGCTTAAGGAAAAGCAGTTCATTTTCTTCTGGCTCATGTTCAGTAACCAGGGTGCCCAAATACTTTGAAGACGGAGTCTTAATCCAGAAGATAGGAGTTCTGTGTAACCTATACTATATGGTTACTTGATAGCAACAAAGTTCTTGTTGAAATATTCTGTTATAACTCAAAGGTTATATTATGTTTGCTTTTTTTTTCTGGACTCTTTAGTGGAAAATGGAAAAAAATACTACAAATAAAACATTAAACTTTTCCTTCCAATATTTCACCTTTATTTCAGTCTCAAAAAAAGTGTTATTTGCAACTTTAATGTGGCCAGAACCATATACATTTGAAAGGCTGCTAAATTGAAAACAATAGAGCCTGCATTTTGGTTGTAACAATCCATTCTGTGTATTTGCATGTGATTATAGATTTGCTAAGTTTTAGTTCCTCCTTTCCTCTGGCTGTAACTTGAGGCAGTGAAGGAGAAAGAGAAGGCAAAAAAGGGTCAATAGAAGAAGGAGCAACTGGACAGAAAGAACCTTGAGGAAGTAGGAAAGAAGACATGTGCAGGGGGTTGAATGCTTATGTCCTTCCAAAATTCATATGTTGAAATCCTAAACCACCAAGATGATGGCATTAGAACATGGGGCCTTTGGGCAGTGATTAGGTCACGAGGGAAGAGGCTTCATAATTGGAATTAGTGCCCTCATAAAAGAGACTCCAGAGAGTTGGTAGTCCCTTTCACCATGTGTGGGCACAGCAAGAAGTCACCTTCTATAATCAGAAAGCAGGCCCTCAATAGGCATGAAATCTGCCTTAATCTTGGAGTTTCCAGCCTCCAGAACTGTAAGAAAGAAATGTTTGTTATTTATAAACCACCCAATTTATGTGTAGCTTGTGATAGTAGCTTGAATGAACTAAGCTAACACGGTAAGAACCAGAAATGAAGATAGAGTGACGGTGATGACTGTCAAGCACACTCATGAGAAGCAAGGCAAGGCCATGGCCTAGCTGATTTGGCTGGAGAAGATATGAGCCACTTTTACACTTAGATGGCTTATTATTTACATATAAAAAAGAAGTAAAAGCCAAACGTGCCAATTCCCTGGCTCCTTGTCCTACACACCAAAAAGGATGACACGGAAACCAAAGGGGCCAGACGACTGTGACACTGTTGTGGAATATACCACTGGTGAGGAGTCAGTTCTAGAATCCAGCTATTCCTCATTATATTCTTCAGCTATATCCTAAAGGGTGTGGGGCAGAAAACCCCATGCTCCATCCAAAACCTGGGAGACAGTAAAGACTTGTCACATGACATACTCCCAGGGATATAAGAAGGAGAGTGAGAGATGGCATTGAGGCAGGTTCTAAAGGGCCTCCCATCCTCTCATATTCCAGGAGGATCAAAAAGCATTCTTCTAAATCTCAGATTAGCTGTTCTTCAAGCCTTTGCTTACATGACCTACGTAGATACATGCAAGGTGTCCAGAATGCTATGATGGAGTAGTTCCCCTACACTGACATGACAATTGGAGAGCAATTATATAACCAGAAATAGGCATGGTGGAGTTAGGAAATCTATAGAAGTGATGACAGTAAAAAGAACAGAATGGAGGATAGAAATATTAAGAATGGACAGTGATAGGAATGATAATATTTGAATTTGTGTGCCTTATGGAGCTACCTATCTCCTCTCACCCAATTTCTTTTATCTCTCTGTCCCTCTCTTTCTCATTCTCCCTCTCATAGATAACATAGCCACACTGTGACCCACCACAGTGGCTCAGGTGTATGTGGGAAGGGTAGTAGTCTGGAAAACTTAACATGTTCATAAATCTTGAAGAAACTCTTCTTACTTTCGAAAGTATATTAAGCAGCTCTCCAGCTTTCCCTGGAGTCTCTTTCCTTCCCTAGTAACCTCCTGAGTGCTCGCTTTATCTCCTTGTTCCTCAGGGTGTATACGAGAGGGTTAAGTGAAGGAGTGCCCACTGCATAGAAGAGACCAAAGAACTTGCCCCTCCCTTGGGCATACGGATTTTTGGGCTGGAGGTAGACAGCAATGACTGAGCTGTAGAAGAGGGTGACCACAGTGAGATGGGAGGAGCAGGTCCCAAAGGCCTTTCTCCATGCTGTGGCAGAGTTAATCCTCAGCACTGCCTGGGCAGTGGCTCCATAAGAGGCAAGGATGAGGCTGAGAGGCACAACCACGAAGATGACACTGGACACAGCCAACTGGATTTCATTGTAGGAGGTATCTCCACAGGAGAGTCGAATCAGAGATGGGACCTCACATAAAAAGTCATCTATCTGCTGGTGGGGACAGAAGGGCAAGTGGAGGGTGGATGGTGTCTGGACTATCGATTGAACCAGACTCATAACCCAGGCCACAGATGCCAGCTGCCAGCACAGGCGGGGGTGGATGATGGTGGCATAGTGGAGGGGCTGGCAGACAGCCACGTATCGGTCAAAGGCCATCACTGTCAGGAGGATGCACTCAGTGGTCCCCAGGGACAGGAAGATGAAGAGCTGGACAGAGCATCCCAGGAAGCTGATGGTCTTCTTTGGGCCCCAGAGGTTGACCAGCATCTGGGGGACACAACTTGTGGTAAAGCAGAGGTCCAAGAAGGAGAGGTCAGAGAGGAAAAAGTACATTGGAGAGTGGAGCCTGGGGTACAGTACAGACAGCAGGATGATGAGTGTGTTGCCCACCAGGGTCAAGAGGTAGGAAGTGAAGACAACCACAAAGAGAGTCCTTTCCAGTGCTGGGTGTTCAGAGAAGCCCAGAAGGAGGAAGCCCATGGGGGAGCTTTGGTTAACCATGGCCTGTTCTTGTTTGTACCTGGAGGGATGAGGCTGTCACCCCAGTGTGATTCAACCTGTCTTATCAAAACTCAGCCTGGGTGTTTGTGAGGTCACAGCAGGTAGGTGTTTCTTTTCTGTCTCTGCTCACCCAGCCTCCCTTTCCCAGGCTTATTGTCATCCAGCAGCTCCTTCTCGTTCCCTGTTCCTTCTGATCAAACGTTGTCTAGCAGAAGTGAGGAAACCAAGAATGTGCTGGAAAGCAGGTGGAACCTCACATTGGTGCCTCTGACTTCCTGGTTGAGGGCAAAGAAAGCTGATGTAAAACATGGATTAATTAACCGATCTTCATTAATTCAACAATAAATTGTTAGGCTCTATCTTATTCTAAATGTTGTGGTAGTTCTGAATATTTCATTATGTACATCCATAAAGAATTAGAAAAGAATCATTTGATAGAATTGCCCTACTATTCATATGTATGCAAAATTATTCTGTATTCTGGGGCATAAGTTTCCTGGAATTATTCATGTTTTATCTACTTTATCTTTGTTTGCAGAGGTGTCAATCAGAGGCAGAGTGTAGAATTAACAAAGAGATTTCTCCGCTGTGTGTATTAACTCCACTCATAGAAAAATCAATGAGGTATTTTGTTCCTTCTCCATTAAAAAAATTATGATTCATTAAACTAAATGTAAGAGCTTCCTCCACAAATGAAAATCCCTAACCTCAACTTAACATTATGTAGAATGTAGCAAAATGACATGAAAAAAATGCTGCCAATTGTCTTGTTCTGGGGCTTAGAAATTAAAAAGATGATATAATTTTTAAAATTTTTTGCCTCTCAAATAAGATTATGTCAATAGCAAAATAGAGAGTTGATATTGGGACGTTTAAGTAGAAATTATTCAGGATCTAGAAGAATTTAAAGAAAAAAAGGAAGGAATTAGAATTTGTTACTTTCTTAATTCTATTCACTATTTAAGATTTAAAACATTATTTTTATAAAAATTCATACCCCCAAATTTTAAGAGTAATTTAAAGAATTTCTGAATGTTCTTTATCTATATTAGTAAAGTGCTAACACTTGACATTTTTATCATTACATCTTTATCTTTGCATATGCAATTATATTTACCCTGAGCTACTGAACAGTGAGTTGTATATATAATGCCTCTTCACTTCTTCATGTTTCTAAGATAGAATTTTTTTTTAGTGTAAAAACAGCTCAGTTACTAAATACAGGAAAGCCAACATTGATAAAGTATTATTGGCCGGGTGTGGTGGCTCACGCCTATAATCCCAGCACTTTGGGAGGCTGAGGCGGGCGGATCACCTGAGGTCAGATGTTTGAGATCAGCCTGGTCAACATGGTGAAACCTCGTCTCTACAAAAAAAAAAAAAAAAAAAAAAAAAAAATTAGCGGGGTGTGGTGGTGGGTGTCTGTAATCCCAGCTACTCAGGAGGCTGAAGCAGGAGAATCGTTTCAACCTGGGAGGTGGAAGTTGCAGTGAGCTGAGATCGTGCCATTACACTCCAGCCTGGGCAACGAGAGAGAAACTCTGTCTCAAAACTAACTAAATAAATAATAAAATATTATTACTTACTCTGTAGACCATACTTATAGTTTTGCCAATAATTTCTGTTATATACGTGTTTTCCCATGGAAGATCCACTCCAGATTATGTATGTCTGAGCTTGCCCTCTTAAGTAGCCTTTCCTTAGTCAGTGAAATAACAAGCCTTAAAGTATAGGCTGGTCGGTTCAGTTCCTAGCATGAGAAGCAGAGAGACTAGAAGAGTATGGCCTCATGTATTCAATAAACACTGGGAAATACATGGGAAAATTGAGACCCTCCCCAACACCGCCGCCCAGAATTGAAGGCAAATAAATTAAGATGAGGTGTGGGTTAGGAAAGAGTCTGCACAATAAAGGAGGAATCTGGGTGGGTGGGCCACGGAAAGCCTTTAGGAGGAGGTGACATGCATTTTTGCTGTAAAAGACTGTGCTGAGACACATGAGGCAAGCTCAATGATGGGGGTGGGATGTGGCACCACCCTGGCAGGTAAGAGGCAGAAACTGAGGGTTTTCTGAGCACAGACAATGGCAGGAGGGCCGTTTAGGGGATGTGGCCATTTAGGGCAAGCAAGTTGGTGGTCTCATTGGCAGACAGTGCCCTGGGACTTTATGGGATGGCACAATCACCTCTGCATCACAGGACCCTGTCTGGTGTTAAAAGCTGCCTCCCATCTCCCTTTTCATCAAGACTCCCTCCTTTTTGTCTCCTTCTATATTCCTTCCTCCATCATTACGTCTCTCCTTGAGGATAAGATTTGTTCCCTTAATTTTTTAAAAATCATATAAACAAAAAGTATATAAAACACATCTATGGATTTTATGGAATAATAAACACATGGTGTACCTGAATCTCCTCCTGATTTAAGAACAGATCAAATATTACTGGTATCTTAGAAGTCTTCTGTGTTCTCCTCCCTGATCACATCTCCTTCTCTCCCACTGAAGAAGTAAACACTATTCTGATTATTTTAAATGTATCGTTCCTTTTTAAACTTTGCAGCCTCATATCTTTTGTGTCTCAGCAATTGTCCAGAGTTTTATTCATCCATAAACTGCAGCATTTCTTACATTCTTACTCTCTTGGCAACTTGTCTCACTGTATGTTTTTTCTTAATCTCTTCAGTTTATATCTTCCTTTGACCCTCTGCACTCTCCTATTTTCTATCTTTAATAACATGCCTTTTCCTTACCCTGTTTCTTCTGGTCCTTTTCTCTGACACCAATAATAGGCAAGCACTACTTTCCCTACATCCCATTAACTCCACACAGAAGCACATTAATTTATTCTTTTTTGGTCCTCAAAGAGCCAGTCATGTACTAACTGCTACAAAGTTATGAGACAAATTCTGCCCTACAGTTCAATAATAATAACCACTTATAGTTTTGACAGTTACTATCTGTTGATGTCCTATATACTAACACTGTGCTAAATAATTTCCTGGAATATCTGCTTCTTAAAAGAACCCTGCTAGACAGTTAATATCTCTGCAGAAGAACAAACAGTCTCAAAGAGGTTAAGTAACTTGCCCAGGGTTACCCTGCCAATGAGTGTCAGTGCCAGGATTGTAGACCCTGTTTGATTCAGAACTGTCTTAAGAACATGTGGAAATTGATGGGCTGTAGGGGAATAAACTTGTGACTTACTTGCAATTAAGTCAGACTCTCTTCACGGCCTTGCTGCCACAGCTTCCCCATAGAAAGGAACTTCTGGACTGGTTGGAGCCTCCACTTGTGATCTCACAATGAGAACTAAAAGCAAACTAAAGAGGAATGTTATACTCTTGATGATTATTGGAACTTGGATTTCAGTTAAGAGTATTGATTGCTAGTGCTTACTTCCATGGGCACTCAAAAAAGCGCTTCATATTTACGGCTCCTTATAACTTCAAAAGGTGGGTACTATTATTACCTTCCCTTACAGATCAATAATTGAAGACATGTAGAGGTTGAATATCTTGTTCTGGAAAGTATAGCTAGTAAGCGCCAAAGACCAAATTTTAACCCAGGTGGGCTGGCTGAAGAAGCTATGCGCTAACCACATTCCACCATTGCTCTGCCAGACACATGAGCTAGAGTTAGCGCTTTACTATGGAACTCTTGCTAACGACTTCTTTTCCTCAATCCAGTAAGTTAACCTCTCTTTTAGTGACATTAAAGGCAGAAAAAAAGGCATAGTGAGATGATGGGGGGAGGAATCCCAAGACTCCCATCCCATAGAGAGAAGTAGCTCATTAATTCTGCCAAGACTAGGTGCCCCATAACCTATAGACAGCTAATTGGCCACAGCTACTAATGGTTAAGAAGGAATGTGAAGATTCAAAGGAAGTGTGCCAGCAACTGAGTTCCCTTTGGCATATAAAAAGGTCACCACTGCTTCTCCGTGTCACTGGGGAGTAAAAGGGCACTATTCTCTCCTGATCCACACCTTCTGAGTGTCCCATATTTCCAGCCTTCCTCTCAAGCCTCGAATGTGCTCATTCAATCCCCCCTGACTTTGGTTTATTTCCTTTCTCTTTTTAAAATTAAGGTATAATTTACATAATGAAGTGCACATATTTTAATGGACAATTCACTGAATGTGAACAAATGTATACATCCAGACAACCATTACCCTACTGAAGATATAGAACATTTCCATCACTCCAGAAATTTCATCATGCCCATTTACAATAATTCTCCCCATGCTCTAGGCAACCACTGCTCTGATTTCTATCATTTTGTTTTGCTTTTTCCAGAACTTCACATAAAAGATTCATTCAGCACATACTCTTTGTGTTTGGTGTGTTATGCTCTGTACCACAGTTTGGAGAATCATCCCTGTTGTTTTGTGTATCAATAGTCCAATTCTTTTTTAAAAATATCAGTGAGTAGTATTCTCTTGCCTAAATATATCACAATTTTTTCATCCATTCACTTGTTGATGAACATTCAGGTTTGTGGTTGTTTTAAAATATGGCCCCCAATTTTCTTATATCCCCTTCACAAAGTAGAGCCTACTTCCCTTACCTTTGCATGGGAGCTGTACTGAGTGACTCAGTTTTAACAAATAGAATCTGGTAGAAACGATGGGATGTGACATCAAAGACTATGTCACAGTAACATTGTGACTTCTTCTTTGTGGATTGTTTACTTTGGAGGAAGCCATCCTAGCAGTGAATGGAAACACACATATGGGGAGAAACTAAGGCTCCCTACTAAAAACGTGCAACATGTGACTGGGACATCTTGTAAGTGAATCCTTCAGCTTCATCCAAATCTTAGAAATACAATCAGCTGACTTCTTGACTACAATGTCAAGAAAGATCCTAAAATAGATACATCTACTATGTATTCACAAAAAGTTTTTAAAAAGTTAAAAGAAAGATCCTAAGCTAGAATCACCAGCTACTATTTAGCTGCTTCTGAATTGCTGGCCCATAGAAACTGTGAGATAATAAATATTTGTTGTTTGAAGCCATTAAGTTTTGGGATAACTTTTTATGCTGTAATAGAGAAACAGTGTGGGGTGGTTTCCAGTTTTTGCTGTTGTGAATCAATCTGCTATAAACTTTCATGTACAAGTCTTTTGTGTATGTGTATTTTCATTTCTCTTTGGTCAAAACCTATTTGTGGAATTTCAGGGTCATGTGATAGACATTCTAGTGGATATCAGGTGATATCTCATTATAGCTTTTATAGCTTTTTAATTTAATTTTTTTTTTTTTGAGACGGAGTCTTGCTCTGTTGCCCAGGCTGGAGTGCAGTGGCGCGATCTCGGCTCACTGAAAACTCTGCCTTCCGGGTTCACGCCATTCTCCTGCCTCAACCTCCCGAATAGCTGGGACTACAGGCGCCCGCCACCACGCCCAGCTAATTTTTTGTATTTTTAGTAGAGACGGGGTTTCACCATGGTCTCGATCTCCTGACCTCGTGATCCGCCCACCTCGGCCTCCCAAAGTGCTGGGATTACAGGCGTGAGCCACCGTGCCCGGCTTTTTTTTTTTTTAGACTGAGTTTCACTCTGTCGCCCAGGCTGGAGTACAGTGGTGTGATCTCGGCTCACTGGAACCTCCGCCTCCCAGGTTCAAGTGATTCTCCTGCCTCAGCCTCCTGAGTAGCTGGGATTATAGACATGTACCACCATGCCCAGCTAATTATTGTATATTTAGTAGAGACGGTGTTTCACCACATTGACCAGGCTGATCTCGAACTCCTGATTTCAGGTGATCCACCTGCTTAGGCCTCCCAAAGTGCTGAGTTACATGTGTAAGCCACCAAGCCAGGCTAATTTTGAAAATTTTTTGTTGTATATGCTTAGGATATACAGGATTTCCTTTTTTTTTTTTTTTTTTTTTGAGACAAGTCTCATTCTGTCTCCTAGGCTGGAGTGCAATGGCACGATCTCGGCTCACTAAAACCTCCGCCTCCTGGGTTCAAGCGATACTCCTGCCCCAGCCTCCCAAGTAGCTGGGATTACAGGCGCATGCTGCCACACCCGGCCACTTTTTTGTGTTTTAGTAGAGAGGGGGTTTCACCATGTTGCCCAGGCTGGTCTCGAACTCCTGAGCTCAGGCAATCCACCCGCCTCGGCCTCCCAAATGATGTTTTGATATACATAGTTAAATGATTACTATGGTCAAGCCAATTAACATATCTATCAACTCACAGTTACTTTTCTTGTGGTAAGAGTACTTAAAATCTATTCTCTTAGAAATTTCCAGTATATAATACAATGTTGTCAACTGTAGTCCTCAGGCTATACATTAGATCTCTAGACTTATTAATCTCACAGTAGTTTCTAAATTTACAATTATCCAACAACTAAGTCATTGAGCATCTTTTCATTGGTCATTTATATATTCTTTTGTGAGGTGTCTGTTCAAGTCATTTGTCCATATTTTATAGTGTTTCCTTTTATGATAAAAGTATATGAGTTCTTCATATATTCTGCATAAAAGTCCTTTGTCAAATAAATGCACTGTGCTATTTTTTCAGTCTGTGGTTTGATGTTTCAATTTGAATGGCGTCTTCAAAGGAGAAGAAGCTTTTAAGTTTGATTAACTCAAAATTCATCAATTATCTTTTTGCAGTTAAGTGCTTTTTGAATCCTAAGAAATCTTTACCTATTCTAAGGTCATAAATATTTTCTTTTATGTTCTTCTTTAGAAGCTTTTAATTTCTAGCTTATATGTTTATTTATATGACCCATGTTAATTTTTTTGTATGTTGTGATATAGGAGTCATAATTCATTTTCATACATATAATAAAATATTATGAAAATGGCTGCTTTTTTACACTTGATCTTAGCCAAAAGGCCGAGACGCGATAAAAAAAATGGCTGCTTTTTTAAACAAATCATAATGGTACAGTTTTTATACCTATATCTGGTTCCTCCAGTACCATTTGTTGCAAAGAATATCGTTTCCTGTATTGAATTATCTTGGTGTCTTTGTGTAAAATCAATAGATCTTATGTGTTTGGCTCTATTTCTGCACTTTCTATTCAGTTCCACTGATCTCACCAGTTGATGACATTTGGATTGTTTCTACTTTTTGGGTGTTACTAATAATGTTCTTATGAAGAGTCATTGAAGGCATATGATTTAAATTGTCTTGGATATTACCTGACAGTGGAATTATTGGGTTGTATAGTAAATTTTTTTTATAAAAAACCTGCCAAATTGTTTTCCAAAGTGGCTCTGTCAATTTTGACATATTCTTGCCAACACTTAATCAGTATTTCACATCTTTGTCAACATCTTATACCATCAGTTTCTTATTATAGTCATTCTAGTAGACTTGTAAGTATTGTGTTTAATTTCATGTTCTTAATAACCAATGATAAAGAGCATCCTTTCATGCCTTTTTTTTCCATCTGGGCCCCAGCTGATTGGATGATACCCATCTATATTGACAGTGGATCTTCCCTACCCAATGAAAGACTATATTGTCCATGAATTCTTTAAAAATGGTTTTAATTTAACTATTTATATTAGATGTTTTGAATCTCTGTTTGCTAAATTCAACAGCAGTCCCACTTACAGTCAGTTTCCATTAACTGCAGTCTTTTCTCTAAGACTTGATTATACTTTCCTGTTTCTTTGCATGTCTCATTTTAGATACTATATTGACAAGTTTATATTCTTATTTTTTTCTAAGAATTATTTTGTTAACATTATTGGACATAATCTGTGGACTGTGTATCTTCCACCATTTATGGCTTCCATGGTCTCAACCTAGCTCTTAAAAATTCATATTTTAAAATCTTGGATCCCAGAAGTTTCCCTTGTTCTTGCACAGCTTAGTGTTCAGTCAATGATTGGGTGAAGGTTTTGGTCAAATACTTTTGATTTCAAAAGGCTTCCATTCTCTGCTAATGCATCTGCCTTTGTGCTGGGACCATATTCAAATTCAGAGAGCTTTTAAGTTTGTCTTGGATTTTACTTCATGCTGGTTTCTCTCATGTTTCTTCTGTACATACCTGTAGTTTCCCAGTCAGCCAGGAATGTGTAGAGATCTTATCTAATTCTTCTATAGCTATCTAATTCCCAGCATCTTCCCATTACATTTCTGATAGGTTCACTGTTCGCCTCATTAAAACTGTAACCTCTGGATACCTGAGCCTTAAACACGATTGAGTTTGTTACTTTTACTGACATAAACCCTAGGCATGAGTTTTTATCTTTGTTCCAAATCATCTCAACCCTCTTTAATAGTGTAATTGTTGATTTTCATGGCCATTCCTGACTGGCAAAACTACCATCAACTAAGTTGGAGTAGTACTGGAGCACTTTTCACAGGACAGGCACAGTTACCTATGATTCTTACCTAAGCTTCTAGCACTGCTTTATGAAAAAGTGGTTCTCAATTTATTATTTGCCTTGGTTTATTTCCAGACACCTGAAATGATTGTTTTTGACAATTTTTCTGGTTTTATAATTTATTTGTGAGGTGGAGGAAGGAAGGATTTGCTGTCCTCTTTAATTCACCATATCTGGTGAATTTTATTTTTAATGTATATATATTAATTTATATTTATTATTTATTTCATAATTTATATTATAATTTTATTTTTAATCTATAAGTGTATTTATGATTAAGCTGTCTTTATATTTAAAGTGCAAGTTTTTTTCTTGGGGATACCATATGGATCCTGAACTTATAAGAGTCTACTCTGACTTAATACAATACCTTTAACATAGAATATAAAAATCTGATAATAATAAAATTAGTTATAATTCCTCCCATTCTTTGTGCAGCTATTGCCGTGTTTTACTTTACATATGTTACAACCCTTGTAATATATTATCATTATTTTTAGACTTTTAATGAATTTAAGAAAAGGAAGAAGATAACTTTTATATACACTTTTATGTTTCCAATCTTGAAAGTTTTTCGTTCCTTCTCATAGATTTGAAACTCCAAATATTATAATTTCTCTATAGCCTGAAAAACTTCCTTTATCCTTTTTTATTCTTTTAGTGAGTATCTTCTGGCAACAAATTTTCTCAGCTTCTTTTTAATTTCAGATGGCTTTATTTTGCCTTCATTTAAGAAAGATTATTTTCCCCCACTGGGTAATTCTAAGTTGGCAGATTTTTTTTCTCTTCACATTTGAAAGATAATTCATAGCCTTCTGACTCCCTTTGTTTCTGTTGAGATGTTGGCAGTCATTTTTATTGTTATTCCTTATTATGCAATATGTCTCTACCACTTCAGCGGGTTTTCAGATTTTTCTTTTTAAATCTTTGTTTTTCTCAGTTTATGATGTATGTAGATGTGGTATTGATAATGTGGATTGCTATTTTTATCGAATTTGAAAAAATTTTGCCAACATTTTTTGAACAATTTTTTTGTTTGCCCTTTTATCTCTCTTCTCCTTTTTTTCCCCTAATTTTTATTTTAGTTTCAAGGGGCACAGGTGCAGGTTTGTTACACGGGTAAATTGCGTGTCATTGGGGTTTGGTGTACAAATGATTTTGTCACCTAGGTAGTGAGCACAGTAAACAATAGGTAGTTTTTTGACCCTCACCATCCTGCCATTCTTCCAACTCAAGTAGGCCCTGGTGTCTATTGTTACTTTCTTTGTGGTCATGTGTATTCAATGTTTTGCTCCCACTTACAAGTGAGAACATGCAGCATTTGGTTTTCCAATCCTGCTTTAATTTGTTTAGGATAATGGTCTCCATCAGGATCCATGTTGCTGCAAAGGCCATGATTTCATTTTTCATGGGTGTATAGTATTCCATGGTATATAAGTACCATGCATTTTTCTTCTCCAGTCCACTGTTGATAGGTATTTAGGTTGATTCCATGTCTTTGCTATTGTGAACACATACACATACATGACTCTTTATGGTAGAATAATTTATATTCCTTCGTGTATATTTCCAGTAATGAGATTGCTGGGTCAAATGGCAGTTCAGTTTTAAGTTCTTTGAGAAATCTCCAAACCACTTTCAACATACATTCTCAGCAGCATGTATGAGCTAACATACATTCTCAGCAGCAGTGTGTAAGCATTCCTTTTTTCTCCACGATGCTTCCAGCATCTGTTATTTTTTGAGTCATTCTGACTGATATGAGATGGTATCTCACTGTGGTTTTCACTTGCATTTCTCTAATGAATAGTGATATTGGGCATTTTTTTCATGTGCTTCTTGGCTACATGTATGTCTTCTTTTGAGACGTGTCTGTTCATGTCCTTTGCCCATTTAAAAAAAATTTTTTTTCTCTTTAAGTTCCTTATAAGCTCTGGATATTAGACTTTTGTCAGATGCATAGTTTGCAAACATTTTCTCCCATACTGTAGGCTGTTTATTTACTGTCTTGATGGTTTCTTTGGCTGTGCAGAAGCTCTTTAGTTTAATTAAGTTCCACTTGTCTATTTCTGTTTTTGTTTCCATTACTTTTGACAACTTTATCATGAAATCTTCACCCATTTGTATGTACAGAATGGTATTTGCTGGATTTTCTCCCAAGGTTTTTATAGTTTTAGGTTTTACTTTTAAATCTTTAATTTACTTCGAGTTGACTTTTGCATATGGTGAAAGGAAAGGGTCCAGTTTCAATCTTCCTAATACGGCTAGCCAGTTAGCCCAGCACCATTTATTGAATAGTGAGTGCTTATTTTTGTTGACTTTGTTGAAGATAAGATGGTTGTAGGTGTGCGGCATTATTTCTGGGTTCTCTGGTCTGTTCCATTGGTCTATGTATCTGTGTTTGTAACAGTACCATGCTATTTTGGTTACTGTAACCTTGTAGTATAGCTTGAAGTTGGATAATGTGATGTCCTCAGCTTTGTTCTTTTTGCTTAGGATTGCTTTGGCTATTTGTGCTCTTTTTTGGTAACATATGAATTTTAGAATAGTTGTTTCTAGTTCTGTGAAAAATGTCATGGGTAGTTTAATAGGAATAGCATTGAATCTGTAAGTTACTTTGGGTCATATAACCATTTGGATAATACGGATTCTTCCTATTCATGAACATGGAATGTTTTTTCCATTTTTTGTGTGTGTTGTCTCTGATTTCCTTCAGCAGTGTTTTGTAATGCTTGCTTGTTGTAGAGGTCTTTCATCTCTCTGTCTAGCTGCTTTCCTAGGTATTGTGTGTGTGTGTGTGGCTATTGTGAATGTAATTGCACTGTTGATTTGTCTCTCAGCTTGGACATTGTTGCCATATTCTGTGCCATGCCAGATGGAGTACTTAACAGAGCAGTGGATGTTGTAATGAACATATGTCTGCTTTTAAGATTCCAATAAAATATTTTAGGATTATAGCTGTGGACAGCTTTCAGTTTTTCAAGGATGAGGTTGGATTCTATACCCGGGACATAATTAGGCTGAGCATTCTCAGGAAAGTTAAGATCACTACAAGCCTCTCCACTCTACCCAAACACTGAGTTTCTGTTGTGAGGGATGACCCAGCAGGTCTGGGATAGCTGTTGAGAGTTTTGATACTATGGTTGGGCCTAAGAGGGAGGCTGCATGGGAGAAGCCAAACTACCAGCTGGGGCTGTGGGACAGTGGTGGAACCAAGGACAAATGTAGTCCCCTGTTTTAACAATGACCATTGTTGTGTTTTTTTTCCTCTTCTAGGGTCTTTCTACATCCCATATCTTAGTTACTCATAAAACTGTGCTGCCACAGGCCCATTTTTCGGTGAGAAAGCTAGAAAAGTTGGAGGACTTGTTCTAAGTCACGCTGTTACCAGCCTAGAGGGGCATCTCAGTGTTTTGAGCAGCTTCTCGTTTTGTGAGCTTTGTGGATGAGTGGTAAGAAAGATGGTCATTTGGGCCGGGCACGGTGACTCAGGCTTGTAATACTAGCACTTTGGGAGGCTGAGGCAGGCAGATCACCTGAGGTCAGGAGTTCAAGACCAGCCTGGCCAACATGGAAAAACCCCATCTCTACTAAAGATACAAAAATTGGCTGGACGTGGTGGTGCATGCCTGTAGTCCCAGCTACTCTGGAGGCTGAGGCAGGAGAATTGCTTAAACCTGGGAGGTGGAGGTTGCATTGAGCCGAGATCATGCCACTGAACTCCAGCCTGGGAGTCAGAGCGAGACTCCATCTCCAAAACAACAAAAAAAAGAGAAAGATTGGTCATTTATGGGTGGGTGGGTGTATTCGAAGGAAATGTTCAGTTGTGAGGATATCAGAAGAAGGAAGAAAAATCATAACTGGGAAAGAAAGATACTTTTTTGTGAGACGTAGCTTGAGTAATTTATTTTTGATATTTGATTTTTTGAAATATTTTTTGAGTACTTAACATATGTAGAGATTAGAAACTTCTGGTAATTAAGAGGGGGCAAGATAGCTAGAGTATCATTTAGTATAGGATTATAGGGAGGTATTTGAAGTTTTCTTCTTCTTTCCTTTTCTTTAAATAGTAAAACTGAACAGAGAGTAGAGAGGTTTTCTGTATACCTCCTGCCCTTCCTCCCTAGGTGGACTCTCCTACTAACAACATCCCATATTAGAGTGGTAATTTGTTATAACTGATAAACTTACACTGACATATCATTATCACCCAACGTCCATTGTTTACTTCAGGACTCACTCTTGGTACTATATATTCTATGTGTTTGGACAAGTGAATCCTAGTACATACAGAATAGTGTGACTGCCCCAAGGTTCTCTGTGCTTTCTATTCATCATTCCTTCTCTGACCCCATACTCCTGCTGTAACCTCTGGAAACCACTGATATTTCTACTTTCTTCATCATTTTGCCTTCACTGAAAGAGTTTTAAGGCATATTGATTAGGAGAAGTTAGAGGTTAAAGTAAAAGAAGGAGAGGTAAGAGGTCACCAGTCATTAAAAATACATTGAAGGCAAGAAAAGTGTTGGGAGAAGGGATCATAAAAAACATGAGTACTTCAAAGGGAAATAGGGATGAGAGCTACTGGGTAATATCAGGAAATTTTTAAAAAGAAGGTGTTTATTGGAATTGGAGATGGAAGTCATGGGAAGCAGGAGTTCTAGGACACCAGAGGTCAAATTGTCCAGTATGATAAGAAGGAATACAGAAGGCTTGAAAAGGAATAAGAATTCATTAGAGGAGTTGAGTGGCATGCAGAATGGACACAGAAAATTGCCAGAACTGGCCAACTCGAAAATGGGGCTTTTGCCGACAGTTTGGTGCCTACTTAAACAGAATGTATCACTTGGTTGTCAGACATTATTCTATAGTGGCAGGATTCTATGACTTGCCCTTCCTTTCCCAGATTTCATGATTTTCTCAAGTGACCCTTATGGGGCATCCAAATGTGGCAACATAATAATTCATGGACACCAGAATTATCCAAGAGGAACTGGAGAGACAACAGCATTGGAGGGCCATCCAAGACCCCCAGTAGTCCTTTCTGTACTTGGTCTCCATGTGCCATCTTCACTTCCTTAGAAAGGGTCGTGTGGCTGGGTGTGGTGGCTCACGCCTGTAATCCCAGCACTTTGGGAGGCCGAGGTGGGCAGATCATGAGGTCAAGAGATCGAGACCATCCTGGCCAACTTGGTGAAACCCCATCTTTACTAAAAATACAAAAATTAGCTGGGTGTGGTGGCGCACACCTGTAGTTCCAACTACTTGGGAGGCTGAGGCAGGAGAATCGCTTGAACCCAGGAGGCGGAGGTTGCAGTGAGCCGAGATCACACCACTGTACTCCAGCCTGGGCGACAGAGCTAGACTCCTTCTCAAAAAAAAAAAAAAAAAAGAAAGGGTCATGTTGATCACTTTTGGATCTTTTTTGATGACCAGTAGAGTGCTATAGACTGGCTAAAAGAAAGAACTGAAGGAACTGTGACTCATTTACTTTCTATAGAACACCAGAGAGAAAGCCAAGGAATGCAAAGAATGCATATCCAGTGTCAAGGAGGAATGGGGAATGAGCTGAGTTCCTAAGGAGGCCCAGCCAGGCCATCCCAGAAACAGGAAGAATTAAAAGCCTCATCATCTAGCAGAAATCCTACAGTATTTATTTCACTAATTTGTTTTAGGTCCTCTCTTTGGATAATACAGAAGAATAACTCTACAATGGCCTCATTTATACTGCCAGAGGGCCCATAATGGTGATTCTCCAAAGAGTATATGGCCTGCATTCTCATTCACAATTGGGACGCACCCCTGTACTTATCTCTAGTCCTCCTTCAGTTCATTTCCAGACCCATGCTAGTGCAAGACTTAAAAGTGCTCCAGCCAGAAGAGTCTTCTACCACTCGTTCAAATTCATTCAACAAATAAATATTATCAAGTATAAAATTCCAAATTGGCATCAATAATATAAAACTGTCAATGCAAACCCCATTTTTCAAATTGACTATTTTTAGGAGCTGAATAAAGATCAAAATGATAAGCCCAATGTGTATAGGTATCTGTGGTCCATTGCAAAAATGAACTATTTCCCAATGGCTGCTTTAGAAAGTTTCTATTTGAAAGGCAGTAAATAAGAGGCATCATGATTGCCTAGGGCAGTATTTTTACCCTTGGAGTCAAGGATGGTCAGGGTTTCTATGTTTATCATTTGTATTCTTTTATGCAAATGGGGAATTAGGTCTAGATACCAAGAACTAGACCAGGATCTTATTGGGGTCGGAAATTAGGAGTAAAGCCAGTCCACAGGAATATCATGAACTGAAAAACAAAGAGGCAGAAAACATTGTTCTGGATGATAAGTTCCAGTTATTAGGTAAAATATTCTCGTGAAAAGTTGAGTAATTTATTTAGGTCCATCAGGGTGCCTATGGTCGACAGAGTCCTCAACTGTGTTATTTCCGCTGCTTGGGTTCTAAACCACCTTTTGACCTATTATTTGGCTTTCTGAAGAGGGTGATTGCAAAATGGATCTTATTATGCAGACCAGGTGTGCTGCTTATTCAGAACTCAGCAGTTACTTTGGCTCTAAATCAGCCTCCTGAGAAGTCAGTATTGGTAAGTCAGTCATTTCATTAGGGCTTGGTCACTGACTGGTATATTATCAACCATGTTTTTTTCAGGCATGCTGAGGTTGAAGCAAATGGGAGAGAGATGACTTTTAACTTCTGTGCTTCCACCTCCTCATTCTCTCAAGTGGCCGAATGTCTAACCTCAGTCAATCGTTGTGCCTTGAGGCTTGTTTCTCTAACTATATCCATACATATGTGGTGAATAAATATATCTATCATTCTTGGGTGCAAGTGCCCTGACTCCTGCTGCTTCTCTGCAGTGCCTCTAATTGGTTAAGAAGGTTGTGGCTTGGCTTTCCAGGCCCCTGGCAGGTGACATTGTCAGTCCTGGCTGCCAGGAGAGGAAACATCCAGAAAATGCTATTGCACAAACCAGGTGGTGGTTATGGTAGATGAGACAGATTAATAATATTGCCTCTTCTTGCAGGAAATGGGATTGGGTGATGAGGAGGGAGATAGGCAAGGGAAGCTCAGGGAAGGGAGGAAGTGGGTCTGGGCTGCAGTGAGAATGAAGGAGAATGAAGAGGATCCACTGAAAAGCTGAGCAGAGGAGAAATACAAAGGAAGTTGACCAGATTGCCAGCACTATGTAGAATAAGGCACACTGTGGGAACTTGATAATTATTCGCAGACTTGAAAGAAGTGTAAAGGGTTAGCCAAAAGAAAAAAAAAGTTGAATAGATGATGGGTGGCATCTTTGAAGCTTGAAGTTTGCACTGAGATCCCACTTTCTGTTTTTCTCAACTCTCAGAGGATCAACCCTGGAATCTTTTGTGTAGCAAGCCTGGTCAGCTCCTAATCCTTCTCCTTATGTCCCTGGGAGACCCAGAGCCCCTGTTTCTTGGTGGCCCTGATGTACCTGAGTTCTCTTCTTTCTTCTACAATATTTCCTCTTCCAACTCTTTCCTAGTCTTCCCTGACTGGAAAGAGTTAAGGCCAGTGAGGGCACACAACCTAGAGAGGCAGAGAGGCTGGCAATGGACAAGCACACGCTCCCATTTCCAGGACTGAGCCACAGCCTTTGTTCAGTGTCTCTTCCTGAGTCCTACATCCCTTTCCTGGCCCCTGTGTAAGATCCCCACGTGCTAGGCTCTCCAAGCCCTCCCTAGGGCACTGATTTGTGAATCCCAGAGAGCTCAGTGGGGAGCAGAAACGCAGGGGGACCATGCTGCCACAGGAGGAGCTGATGCAGGGAAGCAGTGAGCATAGACTGTGGGAGTGAGCTCTGGTTGGGAGGTTTCTCCAAGCCCTGTGAAGAGATTGGCCTGGGATGCACAGAGATGGCTTTCCTTGTGAGCCGGTGAGTCTTCCTCTGAGGTCTTTTTTGTTCTTTCTCTTTTCTCTGCTCAGTTCTTCAGCCTGCCTCTGTTTCTTCTTTCTCTCCTTCTCCCTTCCCTTCCATCTGACTTCTACCCTCCCTCCCTGATGCCACAGTCACTTCTTACTTCAGTTCTGCAAAGCTAAAGAATGAGGATACTGGCTGGGCACAGTGGCTCACGCCTGTAATCCCAGCTCTTTGGGAGGCCAAGGCAGGTGGATCATGAGGTCAGAAGTTCGAGACCAGCCTGGCCAACATGGTGAAACCCCGTCTCTACTAAAAATACATAAATTAGCTGGGCATGGTGGTAGGCTCCTGTAATCCCAGCTACTCAGGAGGCTGAGGCAGGAGAATCGCTTGAAACCAGAAGGCAGAGGTTGCAGTGAGCCAAGATCGTGCCACTGCACTCTAGCCTGGGCAACAAGAGTAAAATCCTGTCAAAAAAAAAGAAAGAAAGAATGAGGATACTTCTGGTAGCAGATACCATCAGGAGCTGGGGTGCACTATAGTGAGTGGGTCCCATGGGATTAGGGAAGTTGAGGAAGGGAGTGTCAGGGAGAAAGGTTGGTAGGAGGAAATATTAGGGACAGAGCAGTGGGATTTCAAGAAGCAGGTCAAGTTTTGCTCAGGGGCAATGGCAGGTGTGAGTAAGGGAGATGTGAGGTTCAGGAAGGTAGAATACAGTGGGGGAAGACTCAATATGGGGATCACTGATGGACTCTCCCTAGCTTTTGAGTGGTGTTTGTCTTGAAAACCAATGACTGTGCTTATATTGCCCAGGATTAATGTAGTTCAAGGTCCCTTGGTAGCTATCTATGGTGGAGAAAGAGCATTTGCTGCAATCTTCCTTCTGGTTCTTTGTGAGAGTATCAGCTATAAGAAGCATATAGTCCTTGGGACAAATAAGCACAGAATAGTGGATCTGGAACTCAATCCAGAGCTCATTTGATTTAGCCTTTATGTTTATTGATGATGAAATTGAAAACCAAAAAGATGATGCAAAGAGTTTGCTCTAGGTCCTGTAAAGTTTTAGTAACGGAGTAGAGATCACAACCCATGTCTTCAATCTTTACCAAGGTGTATTAGTCTGTTTTCACACTGCTGATAAAGACTTACCCAAGGCTGGGCAATTTACAAAACAAAGAGGTTTATTGGACTTACAGTTCCACATGACTGGGGAGGCCTCACAATCATGGTGGAAGGCAAGGAGGAGCAAATCACATCTTACATGGATAGTAGCAGGAAAAATGAGAGCTTGTGTAGGGCAGCTCCCATTTCTAAAACCATCAGATCATGTGAGACCCATTCACTATCACAAGAACAGCACAGGAAACATCCACCCCCATAATTCAATCATCTCTCACCAGGTCCCTCCCACAACACATGGGAATTATGGGAGCTACAAGATGAGATTTGGGTGGGGACATAGAGCCAAACCATATAACCAGGGATTTTCCATTCAATACTTTCCCCTGTCTATTTTTTTTTTTTTAATTACTGATTGGTGGCTCTAAGTCTTGCTCCAGAAAGACTAATGTGCTGGGTTACATAAATGTACAGAAAATAAGGATGAGAGAGACTGGACAAAGAAAAAGGTAGAATAGAACAACAACAACAACAGCAAGTGAGACCAGAAACTAGATATCTCAAAAATATATCGTGAGGAATTGCACATTTCCTGGAGATGAGTTACAAATTCAGGTGGAAACTTGCTAGCTGTCATGTTAAGAGGAAAAGTGATTACTTAATTTCTTAAAAAATTAAACATACACTTCCCATGTGATGCAGCCATTTCACATCTATGTATTTACCCCAGAGAAATGAAAGCATACAAAGACTTTGTACACAAATGTTCATAGAACCTTCATTCTATGAACCAAAAACTGGAAACAACCTGAACTTCCTTTAGCAGGTGAATGAATAAAAAATTGTGAAAACAACCCAAATTTCCTTCAGCAGGTGAATGGATGAACAAATTATGTCATATCTATACAATGGAGTATCACTCAGAAATGAAAAGGAATGGCTGCTGTACACACCACAACATGGCCAAATCTCCAAATATAAGTCAGACTAAAAAGAGTACATATTTTATAATTTCATTTATATAAAACTCTGAAAAAAGAAAAATATAGTGTTGGGAAGCAGATCAGAGGTTGCTTGGGAATGAGGAGTGCAGGGAGGGGTGAAAGAGAGAGATTACAATGGAGTGTGAGGGAGCACGGGGGCTGGATATGTTCATTTCGTGATTGCGCCTATAATGTCATGGTGCATACATGGGTCAAAACTTATCAAATTGCACACTTAAACATGTACAATTTGTCATATGCCAATTGTACTTCCATAAAACTGTGAGGAAATGTTATTGCTTATATGACAGGAAAAATACAGTGATTCCTATCACTGAGATATGAGAAAAATGATCCCTCTGAGAGTTTCATAATGTTGCTTCTTGTAATCTTTCTCAATGTAAACCAATGGCTTAATGCCAAAACACTCTTTAGCAAGACCAGTTCTAGGAAAGATGAGTTGATGGAGATATGTAGGAAGTGGAAATATTTCAGCATTTTAAATGTGTAGCTCTGTGCTCATCTGCTTTAGCTTGGGGATAAGATTTAGATTTTAAATTATCAGAGGAAAAGCTGTTTTGACAATCCTTTAGGCAACCCTTCTTAAATGCTGTTCCTCGCTATTGCAGTTTTGTTCAATTGAAGAGCAGTAGTTGTGAGGTTTTCCACATTGATAAAATGAGTTTGAGGAAGGCCACACAACCCCTTTTGGGGGGTGGGGACAGGGAGTAACACCTTTGTCTTTTCGCTTTACATTTTGAGTGTTTTCTTACTTTGCAAACTGTTCTCTGATAGTTTCATGAGAATCAGTGCTTTCTTAACAGGACAGCAAGTGCTCTCTGGACAGAATCACCACCCTGTATGTACTTGATATTCTCCACAGTGCCAAAGAGCAATAGGCACATAGAAAGTTTGCAATAAATACTGTTGCATTTGAATAAAGTGTTGGAATGATATAAAGTATGTAGATTGCACTTTTAATTATTAATAAATACTTGCCTCTTGGAGATGGCTGTTTTTGATTCACCCTCTCAGCTTATTCCACTTATTTGTTCTGCAGTTCACTGACTCTCCTGCATATCATAGCCCTTATATTTGCTCTTCCGTGTCTTGGTAGTTTTTGGCTCATATCTGTGCTGGGTAGCAGTTTCTGTTAACAGTGATGTATAGAGCCTCTTCTTCCACCTTCCTCTGGGTCTCTTGTGGGTTCCAATGCCACTGATATTTCAAGAATACCCTTCTCTTCCCAGCAAAGTCACCCCATGTGAGCCAAACATTAGCCTTTGCGCTGACCTGTCTGACTTGCTAACAAAAACATCTATCAAGATACTATTTTGTGCCAGATATTAAGCTTGATTGTTTGCAAGTCTACAAATCCTCACAAAAACCCAATGAATTAGACTCTGTTGTTACCGCAACTTTATAGATAAGAAAATTAAGGCTCACATAAAAACAAAACAGAACAAAACAAAAAACAAACAGATTATGTCCTTTGCAGCAACATGGATGGAACTGGAGGTCATTATTCTAAGCAAACTAACACAGGAACAGAAAACCAAATACCATATATTCTCACTTAAAAGTGGGACCTAACACTGAGTACACATGAACACAAAGAAAGGAACAACAGATACCAGGACATAATTGAGGGTGGAGGATAGAAGAAGGGTGAGGATCAATAAACTGCTTATCAGGTACTATGCTTATTACCTGGGTGACTAAATAATCACTGTGAGGTGAAATTTACCTATATAACAAACCTGCACATGTACCCTTGAATCTAAAATAAAATTTAAAAAAATTAAGGCTCAGAGAGATTATATCATTCACCTGTGATCACTTAGCTAACTAGCTGGAAAAAATAAGACTTGACTTTAAGTCTGTCTGACATCAGAATCTGTTCTCTTAACCTCTGCGGCATATGAATTTCCATAAGAACTTACCTTCATTGAAACTTTTGTGGCCACTCCTTACTTCTTGAGGAATCTGTCTTTAGCTGGTAGTAGATTTAATTAGGTATAATTATGTTTGCTAAGGTACTAACCAGTAGTACCACCCAAGAAACAAATGCCTTACCTAGGACGTACAAATGTCAAATGACTTTAAGGATCATTGTTGTGGCTGAAAATTTTATTACCTTGCTAGTCTGATAAGGATAATATTTTGTAACTTTATCCCTGGTTGTCAACTTGCTCTGCTTCTGAAATTGATCCTCCATCCTGGGTTTCTTGTTTCTTGCAACAGAAAGCGGAATAGAATATGTATGTGTTGTGAGGGTCTGAGGAGCGCATTTGACTACGGTAGCTTTTCAAAGATAAGTTTGTCTTTCTGACAGGCTGGCCCTCCCCTAATGTGAAGAAAGACCTTAAGGGAGACTCTTTGATCCTTAGGTATTTGGGACTGACTCAGAGCACTGCACAGAAGTCACTATCGCCCCCTTTTCAAATCTCCATAGGCACCGTTTTCTGGATGGTTCTCTTTAGGGCAGCTTTGACCTCTGTGTTCCGCAGGCTGTAGATGATGGGGTTGAGGATGGGGGTGACCACAGCATAGAAGAGGGACACCAGAGGGTCAGTGGCCGGATCGTAGCTGGCCTTAGGGCGAATATAGATAAAGAGTGCGGTGCCATAGAAGAGGGAGACCACGATCAGGTGGGAGGAGCAGGTGGAGAAGGCCTTGCGGCGGCCCGCAACAGATGGGATCCGGAAGATGGTAACGAGGATACGCCCGTAGGAGCCCAGGATGAGGCCAAAGGGGCAGAGGATGAGGAGGGCTGTTGCCAGGATAATCTGCAGTTCATTAAGCGAGGTGTCTCCACATACCAGCTGCAGGACAGGCTGGATCTCACAGAAGAACTGCGGGATGGTATTGGGGCCGCAGAAGGGCAAAGAGAAGATGAAAGGGGTGTGGCCCAGCCCCACCAGCACCCCACAGGCCCACGCCGACCCAGCTAGCTGTAGACACACCCGGTGGCTCAGCAGCAGTGGGTAGCGGAGGGGTTCACAGATGGCTGCATAGCGGTCATAGGCCATGGCTGCCAGGAGGCAGCACTCCGTGGCGCCAAAGAAGAGGAAGAAGAACATCTGGAGAGCACATCCAGAGCGAGAGATGTGGCGCCGGCCAGTAAGGAGGTGGTGAAGTAGCAGGGGGACCGTGACAGACGTATAGCCAATCTCCAAGGCCGAGAGGGTGCGCAGGAAGAAGTACATAGGGGACTGGAGGGCAGCATCAGTGGAGACCAGCACCACAATGAGGAAATTGCCTGCCACGGTCAGCAGGTAGATAGTGAGAAAGACAGAGAAGAGCAAGCCCTGGAGGTCGGCCAGGTGGGAGAAGCCGAGAAGAAGAAACTCAGTCACCATGGAGGTGTTTGCACTCATCCTGCCTGCATACCTTTGACTGGAAGACAAAAGAAATGGCAAGGAAAAATCACAACTATGGAATCGTGAAATGGGCAAAGATGACCTCTCTCTGCATCTGATCGCAGCACTAGATCTCCCTTTCTATTAGAATATCATGGACTTTGAAATTAGGCAGCCTTGCCTGGAGTCCATATTCCACCCTTGCTCACTCTTGGGATCCTGGATGAGTATTTGTCTCTCTGAGCCTGAATCCCTGACTTCATCTCTTCCTGATAGTGCCTATCATTCTAAAGAACATGTTAAACTGTCTTTCCAGTTTTACCTGGGCTGAAGATTAAGTCAGTCTAGCTCCCTTTTCACTCTTTTCTGATTTTCCAATTCTTCCTGCAGGGCTGGAGACAGAATTTTCCCTCATAGCAGATCTTTTTCTCCATCAACTTGTCTCCTGTCTGATAAGAGGTGACCTCTCTTATCACCTCTTGCCCTCTAGTTTTCTTTTTTCCAGCTCTTTCTTTAGTTACCAGATTCACTTAGTCTTTCTTCTTTTTCTGTCATTTTACCATAAATTTCACAGTGTTCAAGGAGGAGAAAAAAAATGAGAAAGATCCTCTCTTTTTAAGCTCCTATAGCATTAAACAGTTCAACTATTTAGAGGGGTGAGCATTTCTCTAGTTTTAAAACATGCTCAGGCAAAAGATGACAAGAACTTCCTTAATTGCTTATTTCTGCATCTTACAGACTTTCAAACTTAGTCCTCTTACATTGTAAACATGAAAATCCCCAAACTACACACATAAACTCCACAAATTCACACACTGTCAAATTATATTTCAAAATACAGGCACAGAAGAATAGCCTAATATTCCCAGATGCCAGATTTATCTAAAGTTGCAAATCATGTATTCTATTGGCATTATTACAGATAACAGTAAAAGTCTAAATACACTGAACATAAAACTATAAACACCCAAAGATACACTTGAATATATACACAAATTCAATATTCCAGCCATATTCAAGGTTGTGTATTAGAAATACAAGTCCACACACTGATATCCTTTTGCAGTTGAAGAGCCCTTGGTTCATTCTCCTCTGGGGGCTCTTTCAGTGTTTTCCAGAAGATATTATCTCAAAGGTGTCTTTCTATTTTCTATTTGGAGAAATAACCAGTGAAGGCAGATGGCATTTGTGACTTGCTTATCTTCTTTTTTATCTACATAGTGGATCCCTCTTGAGGAAGCCTCTCTTAGGTTTGTTGTCTCTCTTTAAGCTCTCTGAGGATCTGAGTCTCCAAGCATTCTTGGCTTTCCAATGGGGAGAATGCTTCACAAAACCAATTAATCTGTTATTTTGAATCTGTTTCTTAGATTGCAAGAAATACAGAATGACCTGTTAAGAACATTTCAAAGAATATATCCAGAGCTATTGGTTTCTCTTAGTTCTCCCATATCTCTGGTTCAACCATTTTAATTTTCTTCTTTTTTCTCATGATTTTTTCCCATCACTGTAGATGTTCTAGTACATCTACAAAAAGTAATAATGCAATTTTACCCTTCTTATGTATATTGATATAATCCAGTAATCAATTTATTTGATAACTATTTATAGGGTCCCTTGCAGGTTTTATTGATTCTACAGGTAACTAATAATATAAAAGAGAAATAAACATGTTTTGACCTAATTGAGGTGCTAAATGTCATTTTCTTATACAATTGTCACTAATTTTTCTTGCTTTGATTTCTTTTTCATTTATTATACAAATCTTTCTTTGCATTTTTATCATTGGTATCTATTATTTGATTTGTTTCTTCTGTGTTTTTATACATTTTCATAGATGTGATAAAAGCTGTGTGTCAAATAGAATGTTTTCAAGACATACCAACCATTATAACAAGCCCCAACTCCAACGGGTTTAAGTAATAAATTTACTTATTAATTTATATAACTAGAAGTTCAGGGTTTACATAAACTGGATTTCGTACTTAGTTTTCTTCTGACTCCTTTATATTTTATCATTTCATTTATTTATTAGATTTGGCTGAAAGTAATGGAAATGCCAATGGCTCAAAGAGAATGAAAATTTATCTCTCACTTAAATGTCTAAAGATTTGTAGTTCAGGGAAATATGGCTGCTCTGATCCAGAATTCCTCAGGAATCTGTTTTCTCTCAGCTCATCAGTCATCTACTCCCAGAGTGTAGCCCTGTTATGGCTGAAGATGATGCCATTAATGTTACAGGGAACAGAATGGAGTAGAATAATTTGGATTGCTATTTGTCCACTCTTAGTGTAACCTATGTAGTATTATTGCTAAAAATGTTTAATTGGAGTATAAGAAAACAGTCAGACAAATCCATATTGTGGCATATTCTATAGACAACTGACACAAACTCTTAAAAAATATCCATGTCTTTAAAGACAAAGCAAAGATGGGAGATGACATCGTTCCAGATTGAAGAAGACCAAAAGCCATGGCAATAAAATGTCATTCATGATTTTTGACTGGATCCTACGTCATCAACAAAACAAAATAAAAACAACTATAAAAAAGATTTGGAACAAGTGGGAAAGTTGAATATGGGTTTTATATTATTGGTTCAATGTTAATTCCCTTGGGTGTAATAATAGTATTGTGGTTATGCTGGAGAATATTCTTGTCATTAGAAAGATGCAGAATGGCTGCATAGTATTCCATGGTGTGTATGTGCCACATTTTCTTAATCCAGTCTATCATTGTTGGACATTTGTGTTGGTTCCAAGTCTTTGCTATTGTGAATAGTGCCACAATAAACATACATGTGCATGTGTCTTTATAGCAGCATGATTTATAATCCTTTGGGTATATACCCAGTAATGGGATTGCTGGGTCAAATGGTATTTCTAGTTCTAGATCCCTGAGGAATCGCCACACTGACTTCCACAATGGTTGAACTAGTTTACAGTCCCACCAACAGCGTAAAAGTGTTCCTATTTCTCCACATCCTCTCCAGCACCTGTCGTTTCCTGACTTTTTAATGATCGGCATTCTAGCTGGTGTGAGATGGTATCTCATTGTGCTGGCGCTTTTCGAAAGCAGCCGCTGCGGCCGCCCAACGCCAAGAACGCTTCGCGAGCAGCGCCATCTTGAGCGAGGAAAGAGGAACCGAGAGAAGAGGATTGCGGGCCACTGGCCGACTGAATTCCGTATTTTATCTTTTCTTATTGCATTTTCAGAACTGAAGATACAGCTGACAGAGCACTGAACTAGGCCAGGGTTTTAATGCTGGCTCTATGACTAACCTATTCTATAACTTTGTACAATTCACTTCATTTTAATGAGACTCATATTTCTCATCTTTAAAATGCAGACACAGCTGATTCTTATTATTCACTGCAGTTGCATTCTATAAAGTTGCCTTGAACCCTGTAGGAGCAAATATTAAATAATTCCTTGCTTTAGGGGAGATGCAGGGTTAGATTCCTATGAGTTTTTGGTCACATTTTTGTCACCTGATCAATAAATAACCTTATTGTAAGTGTGTTTCTGTTTAAACACATCTTATATAATATATATCGTTGATCATTAACGTTGAACCCACAGCCAACAGCCCTATAACACATGCCTGAACAGAGCTTATCTAGCAAATGCATTTTCTCCGTAAGATCCATTGCAACCTTTTTGTGCTCAGGAGCATGGGACAGCACTTCAGCGCTACATTTGGGGCTATTTTGAATTATGAAATCACCAAAAAACAAACAAAAAATGTGAAAAATATGGCATTCAGCAAATCAGGAAATCATGAAAAGGACACTTGTTTACAGTATAATAGCTGAAACAAGAGGACAGAGCGTTTCCTTGCTCAGCATCAGGTGGGGATGCATACAGTGTGTCTCAAACTTTTTGTCACTGTGTTCATGCACTTGTCCATGAACGACTGCGAAGGTGCTGTGAGTATTGAGCTAGGGGTTAAAAATAGATGTTAGGGAGCAGGTGACTTTGCAAATACTGAATCCACAAATAATGAAGGTCAACTCTATTGCTAGTCATGTCTACTGGTGGAATGTTTGGAACTTTCTTTTCAACCGGACATTGTGTTAATATATTTTTAGAAGGCCAGGGATTATGAATCAAGTGACCATTTTTATTTTTTCATTCATGCATTCATGCATTGCTACTTATTCACTAATCATTTATGACACAGCTAAAATATTCTTGGGATACAAAGATGAATAGGATACACCATCTGCCCTGGATAATATTTACTTCTAATTCGTAGTCTAGTGAAGAAGAAATCTAAATGGTAAGACTATGTAAATCTCTAACAGAAACCACAAAGAGCTATAATTTGTTTTTGTAAAATCCTGCTGGGTTGAATACTATCTCTTTTGTATTAAAATATATTGTTAATCCTCAAGAAGTTTTCAAAGATAAGAGATTGAACAATATTTTGGGTTAGGTCCATGATGTACTGTTATTAAAGTTTCTATGGATTCAGATTGCCTTGGATGCCTAGGCTGGAGTCTAAGGAACAAATAATCAGAAAACATCACTGAGCTCGAGCTTATGAAATATTTTAGTAACATGGGAGACTCATGGAAATGTGTGGTTTCTTTTCCAACTGGAATTACTGATACAAAATAGGATATATATGTGACCAAAGCCAAACAACATAAATGGTTGTCAAACTTGAGCTTGAAGTTAGCCCCCGTGAAGCATCCCATAGTCACTTCTGAGAGTTTGCAAGATGTGTTCAGGAATGTCTCCTCTGGTCCTTCCTCTCTTGTGTCTTTTCTGTGCCTTCAAGCTGCTGCTCTGTGAGAGCTGACTGACTCTTTTTATTTTGTCATCCTTTGCAGTGGTTGACATTGCTTTCTCCACCCTGGCTGTGGGAACAGCAACCACTGTCCCCTGTACCTGCTTTTTCTAAGCAAGGCCACAGGCCCTCTTAGAATTCTCCTAGTACAACATATATCAAGTTGTAGCTTATAGAATAATTTACTGTAGTTCTAACTTAGTGGAAAGTAAATGTAGTGCAGAGAATTATATGCTGTTATACTGATCCACACACACTTGAATTCCACTAGGTAATTTATGTGGCCAAGGGTATATTTCATTTCATTTGGAACTACTTATAATCTTTTCACGTCTTGCAGTTTAGGCCAAATTGACCCCAGGACACAAGGGAAGGTAGAAATGTATTTTTCATGCTAATATATCACCTACTTTTGGAGACTTCATTTATACCCCAGGATTAACCTCTCACCAGGGTGATTAACAATACAAACATCTACTCCCCACAGATCCTTGTCTTTATCCATGGGACTGTGGTCTGAACTGATGACCTTAAAAAGTCCATAAAATGTATTTTGACAAAAAGTTTGCTAAAATATCTGTAAGAATTAAGATTAGTCAGACTTTCCCATCTTAAACTTGAATTATCTCTGAAGTTGTGTTTCTCTATCAAACCAAATTTAACAGTATACTAAAAGGATCTTTCACCATGATCAAGTGAGATTTAGCTCTGAGATGCAAGGATGGTTCAACACACAAATCAATAAATGTGATACATAACATTAACAGAATTAAAGATAAAACCATATGATCATATAAACAGAACATGAAACGGTGAAAGAAAAGTCTTTTTAATAAATGATGTTGGAAAACTGAATATCCACATGCAGAAGAATGAAATTGGATCCTTATGACACTCAATATATGAGAATTAACTCAAAATGGATTAATGACTTAAACATATGACTGCAAACTGTAAAACTATTAGAAGAAAATATAGGAGAAAAGTTCCATGACGTTGGTATGGGCAAGATTTCTTGTATATGATCCTCAAATCACAGACAGCAAAACCAAAAGTAAACAAATGGGATTGCATCAAATTAAAACATTTCTCCGCAGCAAAGGAAACAATAGAGTGAAAAGACAACCCACAGGTTGAGAGAAAATATTTGTAAATGATACATGTAAGTGGCTAAAATTCAAGCTATATAAGGAACTTAAACAAATCAATAACAAGGAAACAAATAACTCAATTTTAAAATGAGCTAAGCACCTGAATAGACATTTCTCAAAAGAAGACGTACAAATGACAAACAGGTACAAGAAAAAATGCTCAACATCACTAGTCATCAGGGAAATACAAATTAAATTCACAATAAGATATCACCTCACACTTGTTAGAATGCCTACTACAGAAAAGATAAGAGATAAATGTTGATGAAAATGTGGAAAAGGAGAACTCATACACTTTTGGTGGAAGCGTAAATTAGTACAGTCATTAAATACACTGTGGAGGTTTCTGAAAAATTCTGAAAAAATTAAAAATAGAACCGTTGTATGACCCAGCAATCCCTTGTCTGTGTATATATTCAAAGGAAATAAGAAGAGAGATCTACACTTTCATGTTCATTGTAGTATTATTCACAATAGCCAAGATGTGGAATAAACCTAAGCATCCCTCAGCAGATGAATGGATAGAGAAAATGTGGTATATATGCATAGTGGAATACTATTCAGCCTTAAAGAAGAAGGAAATTCTGTTGTTTGCAACAACATGGATGAATCTGGAGGACCTTATATTAACTGAAATAAGTCAGGCACAGAAGGACAAATACCTCATGGTCTCCCTTCTACATGAAATCTACAAAGTCAAACTCACAGAAACAGAGAATAGAATGGTGGTTACCAGGGGCTGGAAGAAAGGGAGAAAATTGAGAAGATATTGGTCAAAGGTTACAAAAATTACAGTTAGACAAGAGAGATAATTCAAGAGATCTATTATATGAAAGGGTGACTATAATTAATGAATTGTATATGTGAAAATTGCTAAAAGAGTAGATCTGAGTGTTCTCATCACAAAAACATGATAAGTATGTGAGGTAATGGTTCATGTAAATTAGCTTGATTTTGTCATTCCATGATGTATACATATGTCAAAACATCATGTTATACATCATAAATATATACAATTTTAATTTGTCAATTAAAAATCATAATAATGTAGGCTAACTAAAAAATGCTACATTTTTCCAAAAGTTTTCTTTTCAAGACACATATACTTACCTTTTAGCATATGCTGCTGTTTGATGAAAAAAATAAACGATTAAGAGAACCCCTCCTGCTGCCAAGAAAAAATAGGGTGGCATTTACTGTGAACTACAGATAGTAGACAACGTAGTTCAGAGAAAAAGTGTTCTCGGTTGGTCAGGGAGAAAGTGGAGCTGAAGTTAGGGTCTGAGTTTGATAAATGACACAGAAGTGCCTTCAACACACTCCTAGGGATGAGAAATAAATATATCAGCCTGATTTCTGTGGAAGCTTCAAAAAAGGGAGTAGTGGCAGACAAAGTTGTTGGGCAGTAATTTGGTCAGGAAGGATATTGAAACGCTACATAACCATTTCAACGTCATTTTGTAACATCACGCCACCTTCCTTCTCCTTAAATCAGGCTCAGCATTGGCAAGATTTTGATGATCTATATAAAACACCCCTACTAAGGGTGGTACCTATTGAAACAATTGCCTGGGATGGTAAGAGGGCGATTTGGAGGCTGTAGATTGGAGAATGAAAGTTGAGGGCAGGCTCCTGGGAGGACCACTGTTGGTAATGGGGAATTTAGGGATGTTGCAGAGAAATCAGAATTTTCTGGTGAGTTATGGAGACTAGGAATTGGGGCTTTAGATGTTTGGTGAAATGGAGAGCATTTGTCCCCAAGGGGATGGAAAGGTGGGCTCCATTTGGCTCTTTTGGTTTCTGCTCCGTTTATGGTCAAGCCAACAGTTCAGGAAACCGCCTTTGAAAAAATACAATTTCCTTAGGGGCCTGCTATGTCTTGCTCATTTCAGGCTGCTCTCCAGTAAATCTGTAATTGGTTCTCAGGGGCCTCTCCCTTTGTGGCAATTTCCTGCCCTCCCATGTGATAGAGGGAAAGGACTGCGATGAAAGGACAGAATAGCCTGAGAGCTAGAAAAGGGGATGGAGGGTGGAAGAGAAAATGGCTCAGGAGTGGAGGGTAACAAGGGTGACATTTGTAATCAATGTTCTACGTTACTTCAGGTTGAGCTCAAGCAGGGAGGGAGCTGAAGGTAGGAAATTCCAACATTCTGAAGTCTTCAGCAAATCTTAGCAGATCATCTCCTCCTCACAGTCCTGTCTTTAGAGAACAGGGTCGATATTTCGGGTACGTTTATTTTTGTAAAATTCTTTACAGCTTAGTTCACAGATTCTTTAAAAAAGTTAAATGGCTGGTTTTTATAGCTGTTTATCCTGTAATCACTAGCAACTTTCAATTAACCCAGAGAGTCAAAAAGTCTTTTATTAAAAATCATTTCAAGAAGTCCCGCAGTATTTCTCTAGAATACCAGTGCTGCTCTTTTCTCCATTGGATGTTTTTAAAAGTTGATTTCTAATCCTTCTGGGTGCATACTGACTTATTTTTTTAATTCTCTCTTCTCTTTTGGAGATGGGGAACAGTAGATATTCATGCTCCCCAAGCTTCAGTTGATATGTTACAGAGTAGGAAGAAGCGAGACACCCTCATACTAATGTTTTCATGGTGGAAAGTTTTCCTCCTGCTATCCCATGGCTTGACAAAACTGGGATATACTTAAAATTATACTGTTTTCTTTTAAAACCTTTTAAGTATATTTTAATGTTTTATTATGGAGTAATTACTGAAGAGACTTGAGGAGAATTAACAGATTAAAAAAATCAAACTGAATTAACTTTTTGGTTTTCTGCTTACAAACATAACATGTTTGTTTAGCAGACATTTCAAAATATGAGAATAAATTTTTTTCTAATACCTAAAGATGAATTAAAATGTACAGTTTTGTATATATTTTTTAAAATATTTTTTCCTGGAATATTCTTTGAATTGCTCGTTTTAATTAAGGACTCTATGCTATCTCAGAGTCTGGGTTGAATGAGGGTTATGGTTTTTACTTAGAATTGAGTGTGTGGCTGATTGTTCGTTAGACAACAAACAGGCATTTTGCACTATTCTCACTTCTCTACCAGTCAGTATGGTGAAATTCCTGTTGATTTCAAACTCTTCCTGCAGTTTTTTGAGTTTTCCAATTCCAAATTCAGCTCTATTCCTTGGAGTTTTCAACTCTAAATTCATCAACTTCCTCTATTCCCTGATTCCCCTCTGTCTTTAAGGGAATAACAGCCTCTCATATATCCTACTGTTTCTGTGTTTTTCCCATTTCTTTTCTTTTCATATCTACTTTTACAGATTTAGGGGTACAAGTGCAGTTTTGTTACATGAATATATTGTGTAGCGATTGAGTCTGGGCTTTTAGTGTAACCATCACACAGATAGTGTGCATTATACCCATTAGGTAATTTCTCATCCCTCACCCCTTCCCACCTCACCTTTCCAAGTCTCCAATGTCTATTATTCTGAATTCTGTGTTCATGTGCACACATTATTTAGCTCCCACTTATAAATGAGAATATGCAATATTTGACTTTCTGTTTCTGAGATATTTCACTTAAAATAATAGCCTCCAGCTCCAATGATACTCTTGATTTCCAGGGGAGGTAGTGGTCATGAGCTATTTATTATTAGAGGTATTCTTGCCTGATTTACATGCTCACCTCTCTCCTGGCAGGAATCCTATAGAAAGACTCCAAGCCTCAGAATGAGTTTGGACCAGATAAAATAATCTAGAGTTAAAGATGGCCCACATAGGGAGTGCCAGATTCACTCACAAGGAAATGCAGATGGGATCAAAGGGTAAGAGAATAGCTTTAGAGACGGGAGTTGGAGGGCAATAACAGAACCTGTGGAATTTTGTAGTCTATGAAGAACAGCATTCTTCTCTGATCAATTCATATGGGTTTAGGTTAAGGAAGACATGGTGTTAAACATTAAGTATTCATTGAGAATATATCTTTTTGTAAGACTTCGGTACAGTAGCACTTATAAAAATTTAAATCCTGTGCTAAATGAACTTTTAGTCTTTTGGAAAAGAGAAAGTGCATACCATAAGATAATTAATGATGAACTCAAGGCAGCATGTATTTGCACATCAGGTATCAGATGAGTGGGGCCATCCCTTCTTTCACTCTTGTTACCTTGGATGTAGCTTCCATAATACTATTTAAATTTAGGTTGAAACATGCCACTGTACTGTTTAAAAGCCTTCAGCTGTGCCTTGCTGCCTATAGAATGAAGCTCTAGTTCCTTCTTGTGACAAGCAAGGGTCCCCAGACTCTGATCCTGGCCCCTTTCTCTCCCTGTCTTCCCCCATTCTTCACCTCAATCCTAATTCTCCTTCAGAATCGAGGGGATTGTTTGAGCTACCCTTGGCTACTTACCCCCTGCTACCTCTTTCTCCTCCTCACATCCAATGTTGTTTCTTGCCTCAGTGTGTACTCATGGTTTTCCTTTTACCTAAAATGCCCTCACCTCCATTCTTTCCATTTTCCACTGCAATCACTCATCAGTTCAGCATCACTTCCTCCTAGTACTATTTCTTTCAGGTTGAATTCATTAACTGTCTTTTGGCGTATTGCAATTTTCTGTTGATATGTCCATCTGTCACACAAGAGTGTAAACTCCTTAAGAGTATGGACCAGTTTTGTTTGGCCCACTATCCTCAGAAACAGATGTAATATCTTCTATACACTAGATCCTTAGTACATGATTGGGAGAGAAATAAAGGGCTCTATTAGTCAAGGGGGATTCTTGGTAGAGATAAGTTCTTAAGCTGGGTCTTCGAGGATTTAACGTTAGCAATGAGCAGAGGTATGGAAAATGGGATTCCATTCAAAAGGCAGATTTGGTCTTAGGCAAAACTACAAAACAGTGTGCCGTGAAGGCTCCCAGCACTGTGGTCCCTGAGGCATCCAGTTTTTCACCTCTTAGGAAACTGATGTTCTAGACTATTTGTATTAAAGATAACTTACATTTTTTGTGATAATAAATATAATGTATGTTTATTAATCCCATATTCTAGAAAGTAACACTGTTAGTATTATGTATTTATATTTATTTATATGATATCTGCTTTTTTTCTCTACCTTTCTCAACTGTTTCTAATCATTCCCTGTATTCTCTCTCATTGTCTTCAGTTAATAAACACATATTGCTTTGAATAGCATATGAAAACCTTCCAGCAGGTATGACAGAGCCATTTTCAGATATTTAGAAGTGTCATGCTCAATTACAACTCTTTGCTTTTGCATATGCTTTCCTGCCAGGGATGCCCTGCCTGGTCTGGTTTCCTGTCTTTTGCCTGGCCAACTCTTTTTTTTTTTTTTTTTTTTTTTTTTTTGAGATGGAGTTTCGTTCTATTGCCCAGGCTGGGGTGCAGTGGCGCGATATCGGCTTACTGCAAGCTCCGCCTCCTGAGTTCACGCCATTCTTCTGCCTCGGCATCCCGAGTAGCTGGGACTACAGGCGCCCGCCACCACGCCCGGCTAATTTTTTTTGTATTTTTAGTAGAGACGGAGTTTCACTGTGTTAGTCAGGATGGTCTCGATCTCCTGACCTCGTGATCCACCCGCCTCAGCCTCCCAAAGTGCTGGGATTACAGGCGTGAGCCACCAAGCCCGGCCTCCTGGCCAACTCTTAATTGGCCCTCAAAACTTAGCCTACTTGCTTCTATCTTCAGAAAGCCTTCCCCGACCTTGATCCCACACCTTCTGCCCCACAACCCCAGGCTGGGTTTGGTCCTTCTCTGCTCCCATGGCACCTACTTCCTTCCCTATTACCATTTACCACATTTTCACTACCAACTCCTGAATGACTTGATGAAACTACTATTTAAGGAAGGCAATAAGTGAAGAATATATAAGAATTATCCGAGGAACAGTTGGTAAGGTATCACTGATTAGGAGATGGGGAATGAAAGGGGCGGTTGAGATAATGAGAAGAATGAGATAGTGACCATGGGGATTAGACAGAATTCTCAAACCACTCATAGAGGAATTGGTTGTGATTGAGAAAGATAGAAGAGTTTGCAGTTGTGGGCCATGTCTATATAGCACACATTTGGAGAATATTATACTGGTGCACAAGAAGGAGGCTATGGCTGACTATACAGATAAGAATGATAGAGGTGATTATGCGAAAGAGGTAGTAGATTGAATTAATGGGGTAAAGGTCTTTGAAAGACTAAAATTATGAGTTTGGATAAACTCTTCTGAGCGTTAAAGAATATGCACAATTAAGGAAGGCAGGGAAGGATGAGAGTTGAGGAAGGAATGACAACTAAGAAGGGGGATAGTTGAAGACTTGCGTGAGCGAGTCTTGTTTTAGAGACTCATTTTTGTCTTTTTTGTTTTGTTTTGTTTTAGCTCTAATAACGTTAGGCTTGGTATAGAAGATGCAGAGACATGCTAAAATTTCTCCCCCAATTATTGCCAAGCAGAAACTTGGACGATCGACATGGAAATTGTCTCCACAGGAAACGAAACTATTACTGAATTTGTCCTCCTTGGCTTCTATGACATCCCTGAACTGCATTTCTTGTTTTTTATTGTATTCACTGCTGTCTATGTCTTCATCATCATAGGGAATATGCTGATTATTGTAGCAGTGGTTAGCTCCCAGAGGCTCCACAAACCCATGTATATTTTCTTGGCGAATCTGTCCTTCCTGGATATTCTCTACACCTCCGCAGTGATGCCAAAAATGCTGGAGGGCTTCCTGCAAGAAGCAACTATCTCTGTGGCTGGTTGCTTGCTCCAGTTCTTTATCTTCGGCTCTCTAGCCACAGCTGAATGCTTACTGCTGGCTGTCATGGCATATGACCGCTACCTGGCAATTTGCTACCCACTCCACTACCCACTCCTGATGGGGCCCAGACGGTACATGGGGCTGGTGGTCACAACCTGGCTCTCTGGATTTGTGGTAGATGGACTGGTTGTGGCCCTGGTGGCCCAGCTGAGGTTCTGTGGCCCCAACCACATTGACCAGTTTTACTGTGACTTTATGCTTTTCGTGGGCCTGGCTTGCTCGGATCCCAGAGTGGCTCAGGTGACAACTCTCATTCTGTCTGTGTTCTGCCTCACTATTCCTTTTGGACTGATTCTGACATCTTATGCCAGAATTGTGGTGGCAGTGCTGAGAGTTCCTGCTGGGGCAAGCAGGAGAAGGGCTTTCTCCACATGCTCCTCCCACCTAGCTGTAGTGACCACATTCTATGGAACGCTCATGATCTTTTATGTTGCACCCTCTGCTGTCCATTCCCAGCTCCTCTCCAAGGTCTTCTCCCTGCTCTACACTGTGGTCACCCCTCTCTTCAATCCTGTGATCTATACCATGAGGAACAAGGAGGTGCATCAGGCACTTCGGAAGATTCTCTGTATCAAACAAACTGAAACACTTGATTGAAGGAGAGTAATGAAGATGTTATTTTGGACTTCGGACACCTCCATTGGGGACTCTTCCAGGATGGGTTGGAGAGGAGTAACTTTGTCTTATTCGACCATTCTCTTTGAACTCTTCTGCAGTTATACTAAAAATGAAAATGATAGGGCAACAATTTTTTAACTTTTATTTTAAGTTCAAGGGTACATGTGCAGGTTTGTTACATAGGTAAACTTGTGTCATGGGGGTTTACTGTACAGATTATTTCATCACCCAGGTATTAAGCCTAGTACTCATTAATCATTTTTCCTGATCTTCTCCCTCCTCCCAACCTCCACCCTCAAGTAGGATTCAGTGTGTTGTTCCCCTCTATGTATCCATATGTTTTCATAATTTAGCTCCCACTTATGAGTGAAGACATACGGTATTTGATTTTCTGTTCCTGTGTTAGTTTGCGAAGGATAGTAGCCTCCAATTCCATCCATGTCAAATAATCAAAATTATTTAAACTTTGATTAGTTCTTTATTAAATATGTCATAAATATTTAAAAATAATACAGCAATACCAAAATAAACCTAGAAATATTGTTTTTTATATTATTGTTGTATGACATTTAAAAATTTCTTTCTATGTGTATTTATATTTATACATACAAGTTGGATCATGGAGTTTGTAATCTGGTTTTCCACTGAACACTGTGTCACGAACAACTTTTTCTATTAACAAGCATCTATTTCTTTATTCTTCTGGGCTTCATCGTATGGCTAAACATGATTTGTTATTCTATTTTGGGAATTTTTAGTTGTATTCTATTCTTTTACTGTACATTGTTTACATCTGGATTTTCCTGTAATAAACTTTTAGCACCTAAATTGCAAGATCTAAGGATATGTGTTTTTAAAAATCTAAAGCTGAATTCCTTTTCTTTTAAACTTCTTTTCTTGTAGAACATTTCAAACATACATAAAAGAGAAGAGCACAGTGAACCCCCATGTACTCCATGTAGCCACCATCCAGCTTCAACATCAACATTTTGCTAATCTTATTTTAATTAGCTACAGCTCCTTGTTTGTTAGTTTTCATGGAAAATTTTAGGGCAAATTCCAGATGTTGTATAACTATTATGTTGTGTAAGTTATGTATGTACATATTCCACATATGTATTTAGTATAATCTGTGACTAATAAAGACATTTTAAAAAACCATGCCCACAATACCATTATGATACTTAGCACAATTATCAGTATTTCCTTTATATCATCTAATACACAAGCCATGTTCAAATTTCTCCATTGATCTTTAAGTAATTTCTTAAAATTAGGATCTAAACAAGGTTCACACAATGTATTTTGTTATTGTCTTTCCAGTCCCTTTATAACATAGCAGACCCCACTTTTTTGTCATGCCATTGACTTAAGTTGCTATGTTATTTTTATTGCATCATATCCTGAGACACATGATATTTAGTTGTCCCACTCTTAGAGATGCTATTTATATTATTGTCCAGTGAGTTGAGGTGGTGTCAGTCAGATCTATCAATTACTCAGTTTCTAATTAACGTTTTCCCTAATACTTTAATCATCCATTGTGGAAAGGTGATGATTAACTTTTATTCCAAATGTTTTTATGTTCCTTTTTCAATTCCAAAATTCACCATTTTAATAAATGGCTCTCTAGTACATTATATATCAGTCAGCCAGGAATCACACTTAGCTATTAGAAACTGTCAATACAAAGTTTTAAAAGTAAAAATTGTCATGTAAGTAAAAGTTAATTTTTCTCTCAAGTAAAAGAAGTCTGGAGGTAAGTAGTACAGAGAGGATGTGGTTGGTTCCCAGGGTTATATAGACCAGAGCTCTGTTTACTTAGTGTATATGTCAGGAGAACAGCGTGGGGGAAAGTTCCCCCATGATGAAATCACTTCCCTCCAGGTCCCTCCCTTGACATGGGAGATTACAATTGAGATGAGATTTGTGTGGGGACATAAAACGAAACCATATCAGGCTCTATTCTGTGTGTCTGTGTGCATATGTAACTAAAATCAGGAGTGAGTAATTGAGAGAAGTGAATTTTCTTGGTGTGGTTTCAGTTGCAAACAACATAAGCTACCCTGGCTAATTTAAGCTGCTGTTTTTTCTTATATAATATTTGATAGCTCACACACTATCCTGTAGGTAAAGAGAGTCAGACTCTGAATTATTCTGCCAGGAATGAGATGCAGAAACACAGAGGGTCTCTTGTTGGCGTAAATATCACTGTCATCATTACTCAACCCTAGAGTACTTCTAGATCCATCACTGATGCTCCAGAAGGACCAGATTCCTCTGTTTCATGCAGAGAAGACTGAATTCCACATGCATAGTCTTGCTGATTGGTAGGACCTAATTTCCATGGTTGTTACCAGCTGTTAAGGAATCTAGGAAATGATCACAATGTAGTGGGGGTGTTCACAGATGTAAAAGCACTATAATGAATGTCTACTCTTGGCACAGTGCGAAAGGATAATGTTAGGTACTAATTTTTTTTTCTTTTGACATTTTAAAATACAAACATTTCACGCATATACTAAATACAAAAATTTCCTTTGTCCACTTTTTAATGGGGTTATTTATTTGTTTTTCTTGTTGAGTTGTTTAAGTTCCTTGTAAGTTCTGGATACCAGTCCCGTATTAGGTGCATAATTTGCAAATATGTTTTCCCATTCTGTAGGTTGTTTGTTTACTCTGTTGATTATTCCCTTCACTGTGCAGAAGCCTTTTAGTTTAATTAAGTTCTGTTTGTCTATTTTTATTTTTGTTGCATTTGCTTTTGAGGTCTTAGTCACAAATTCTTTGCCTAGGCCAATGTTCAGAAGAGTTTTTCCTAGGTTTTCTTCTAAAATTTTTATAGTTTCAGGTCTTACATTTAAAAGAAGACATACAATCAGCCTACAAAACCTACAAACATATAAAAAAAGCTCAACATTGCTAGTCATCAGAGAAGTGCAAATTAAAACCACACTGAGATATCATCTCATACCAGTAATAGTAACTATTATTAAAAAGTCAAAAACAAGAGATGTTGGTGAGAATGCAGAGAAAAGGGAATGCTTATATACTGTTGATGAGAATATAAATTAGTACAACCTCTATGGAAAACAGTATGAAGATTTCTTAAAGGGCTAAAATTAGAACTACCCTTTGATTCAGCAATCCCAATACTAGATATCTACCCAAAGGAAAATAAATCATGGTACAAACAAGACACCTGCATGTGTATGTTAATTGCAGCACTTTTCACAAGAGCAAAGTTATGAAACCATCCTAAGCATATGAAAGCATACACACACACACACACTTACATAAGCATACGTAATTAGATATTTTTTCTTTTATTTTACTTTCACTTATTTCTTCTTCAATGCTCTTCTGTTCTTAAAGGTGGATTGAAATGTCTCACTTGTATAATTTTATTACTCTCTAAAAAATTTATTTTATCACTTTTTACCAGGCAAGTCTATTGGCAATAAATTCCCTCAATTTTTGTTCCTCTGAGAAGGTTTATTTCTCATTCACTTTTGAAGGATAATTTCATGTAGTGCAGAATTCTAGATTGGTTTTTCTTCTATCAAAAATTTTAAATATTTCACTCTATTTTCTTCTAACTTTTGTAGCTTCTGCGAACTCAGATGTCATCTTTTCTTCCCTAAAGGTATGGTATTTTTTATCCTCTGGCTTCTTCATGATTTAAAAAAAATCTTTGACTTTCTGATTTTTGTTTAATTTTCCATAGTTTAAAAATGATATTCCTAGCCATAGTTTTTCTGGCATTTATGCTTCTTGGTATTCCTTGAGCCTCCTAGATTTGAAGTTTGATGTCTCATATTAATTTGGGGAAATTTTCAGTTATTGCTTCAAATATTTCTTCTGTTCCTATCTACTTTTCTACTCCTTCTGATATTCCCATTGTATGTATTACATATTTTGGAGTTTTTCCAGAATCCTTGAATATTCTTCTCTGCTTTAATAAGTCTTTGTTTTCTTCGCTTTTCAGTTTTTAAAGTTCCTATTGACATATTCCCCTGCCTAGAGGGTTTGGTGGTCGTTTTCTTCCTCTTAACTTTATTAAGGTATGACTGACACATGAAGTTGTATATATTTATGATGTTTACTGTGATGTTTTGAGATATGTATACATTGTGAAACGATTACCACAATTAAGCCAATTAACACATCCATCACCTCACATAGTTACAACCTTTTGTATGTGTGTGGTGAGAACATTTATGATCTTCTAGTTTAGAAAATTTCAAGTATATAATACAGTATTGTTAACTATAATCACCACGCTATATGCACATTATATAGGTCACATTTTTAAATCCACTTCTCTGTTTTGATGGACCTTTGGGCTAATTCTGTATCTTGGCTATTGAGAATCATGCTGCAATGAACACAAGAGTGCAGATATGTCTTTGAAATACTAATTTTTTTTTTATTTTTCCATAGGTTATTGGGGTACAAGTAGTATTTGGTTACATGAGTAAGTTCTTTAGTGGTGATTTGTGAGATTTTGGTGCACTCATCACCCAAGCAGTATACACTGCACCGTATTTGTAGTCTTTTATCCTTCACCCCCCCTCCCACTCTACACCCCAAGTCCCCTAAGTCCACTGTATCATTCTTATGTATTTGCATCCTTATAGCTTAGCTCCCACATATCAGTGAGAACATACAATGTTTGGTTTTGAAATACTGATTTTATTTCCTTTAGACATATACCCAGAAGTGGGATTACTGAATCATATGGTATTTCTACCTTTATGTTTTTTGAGGAATCTCTATATGTTCCCCATAATGGCTGTACAAATGTAAATTCCCAAAAACAATGTACAAAGGTTCTCTTTTTATATCCTCATTAATACTTGTTATTTTTTGTCTTTTTGATAAAAGCCATTCTAACAGATGTGAAGTGATATCTCGTGGTTGTAGTTTGTATTTCCTTTGATTTAATGATGTTGAACATTAAAAAATACACTTGGCCATTTGTGTGGAAATATCTATTTCATTGAAAAAATGTCTATTTAGATTCTTTCCTCATTTTTAAACTAGGCTATTTGTTTTCTTGCTATTGAGTTTTTAAAAAATGTATATTTTGGATATTAACTCTTTATGAAATATTGTTTTCCCATTTCATAGGTTATCTCTTCATTCTGTTGATGTTTTCTTTTGTTAAATAGGAACTATTTAGTTTGGTAGAATCGTATTTATTTTTGATTTTGTTTCCTGTGCTTTACGTATGATATTTTAAAAATATCATTTCCCAGACCACCATTGAGAAGTTTTTCCCTGTTTTCTTCCAGTAGTTTTAGTTTCAGGTCTTGCCTTTCAGTTTTTAATCCAATTAAATTGATTTTTGCGTATTGTTTGAGACAATGGTTTAATTTCATTCTTCTTTAGGTGGAATATTAAGTTTTTCCAACACAATTTATTGGAGAAACTATTCTTTTCCCATTGTATGTTCTTGGCACCTTTGCCAAAGACCAACTGACCATAAGTACATAGATTTATTTCTGGGCTCTCTATTCTGTTCCATTGTTCTATGTATCTGTTTTTATGCCAGTATCATACTGTTTTGATTACTATAGCTTTGTGGTATATTTTGAGTTCAGGTAGTTGTGCCTCCAGCTTTGTTCTTTTTGCTCAAGATAGCCTTGGCTATTTGGAGTCTTTTGTGGTTCCATAAGAATTTTAGTACTTTTGCTATTTCTGTAAAAAATTCCATTAGAATATTGATAGGGATTGTAAAGAATCTACAGTTTGCTTAGGAAAGTATGAGCATTTTGACAATATGAATTCTTCCAATCCATGAATAAAGAATATCTTTCCATTTATTTGTATCTTTTTCAATTTCTGTCATCCATGCCTTATAGTTTTCAAGGTACAGATCTTTCACCTTCTTGGTTAGATTTATCCCTAAGTATTTTATTTACCTTTGATATTATTGTAAATAGAATTGTTTTCTTGATTTCCTATTCAAATAGATCATTGTTGTAAAAATGCAACTGGCTTTTGTAAGTTAATTTTGTATCCTGTGAACTTAACTAAATTTATTAGTTCTCACAGTTTTTGGTGTAGTCATTAGGGTTTTCTAGATGTAAGATCCAGTCATCTGCAAACAGAAAATTTTACTTCTTCCTTTTTAGTTTGGATGCCTTTTATTTATTTCTTTTGTGTAATTGCTATAGCTAGGAATGTCAGAATTATATTGAAGAGAAATTGTGAAAGTGGGCCTCCTTGACTTGCTCCTGATATCGGAAGAAAAGCTTTTAGCTTTCCAACACTGATAATGAGAATAGCAGTGGACTTGATATACATTATCTTTATTACATTAAGCTATGTTTCTTCTATACCTAATTTGTTGAAAGTTTCTTTTAGTTATGAAAGAATATTGAATTTTATCAAATGCTTCTTCTGCACCTATTATCATATGGTTTTTATCCCTCAGTATGTTAATGTGGCATATCATATTTATTAATTTGTGTATGTTAACCCATTCTTGCATCCTAAGGATGAATCCCACTTAGTCATGGTGTATGATCATTTTAATGTGCTGTTGAATTCATTTTGCTAGTTTTCATTGAGGATTTTTGCATCTATGTTCATCAGGGATATTGGCCTGTAACTGCATTTCCTTATAGTTGCGTTGTCTGGCTTTGGTATTAGGGTAATGCTGACCTCATAAAGTGAGTTTGAAAGTATTTCTTCCTTTTCATATTTTTGAGTGAGTTTAAGAAGATTGGCATTAATTATCCTATAAATGTTTGGTAGTATACATCAATAAAGCCATCAGATCCTGGGCTTTTTTGAATAGGAGACATTTTATTACTGGTCAATCTCAGCCCCAGGCTGGCAGCTTTTGCCGTGGTCTACTGGAACATGAAAAAGTCTGTCTGAGGCTTCCCTGTTGAAGAAGCATATGATAGTCACAAGGAGCAATTAAGGGAGGAGAAAAAGAAATAGAGAGAGAGACTTACTCAGCTCTCAGCTATTCCGTGACCAGACTGAAGTCATTCCAGCAAAGGTCAGAGACATTATGGATCAGAGTCAACCATTCTCTGCTGTGTTTTTCCAAATTTCTTACCCAACAAAGCATGTAACTTAAGTGTTTTAAGCGATTGAATTTTGGGGTCCTAATGTGTTATGCACTAATAGTTAACCAGAACCCCATGTGCTCTTCTACAGTTCACAAACTCTCTGAAGTTTGAATTATGTGGCAGATTCTCACCACCAGAAATGACAGAAAAAACATATTGTATAAAAATATGCATCAAATATATTACTGATAGTGTGGGACAGTTGAGATTAGGAGTTGCCATCTCCACACACACATTGTTGTTTTGTTTTATTATAAACTAAACTGGAATTGAGGGACCAAAGAAGGTGAAGTTAGAAGACAAAAGAAGCATGGAGAGAAGTCAGAATAAAATTGTTTAGATTTACAAAAGTGCATGCAGGGACCTTGAAGGGTCAGTCCACCAGCTTAAAATGCCTTTTCATAGTATTTTCTGTCTATTCTTTAAATATTTATAAATTATAGAATCCACCATTTTTTCAGGGACAGAAGCCATTTATAGGAACTTAAAAAGTGAGGAACATAGCAGTTCATGTCTAGAAATACTTCAATAATTATGACTTCTATGCCTTTGCTTAGTATGAGTTTGGTGCCAAGTAAGAAAAAGAAAATAAAATTTTGATAAAGTCGTCATCTTCCGCAATTAAAGGCTGAGGGAACAATAACATCCTAACGAGATTGAAAGAGTCTTAAGAGCTTTGTTAAATTATCTCCGATTTTTAATATTTTAAGTAATCATTGAGGGTGTGGACAGTTGACTAATAAGAGATATCTGGAGACAGAGGTGCCAAAACTATTTAGATGAACTGTCAGGGTTTTTGTTGTTGTTGTTATTTAGTGATTACAATGTCATTTGCTTTAATTACTTGTCTCCTTGTTTGAAGAATAAGAAATCAAGACCCACCCCTTAAAAATTCTCCTTAACTCATACGTCAGTTAGCATATTCTTTTCCAGTTGAGTAACTATGGCCCTAAAGTAAAATCCTCAAAATATCAAAGCATAATAATTTTATTTATAATATTATAATGCATTAACCTAGAGGGACCAGATAGATAAATAGACCCAAGTATTATCCATATATTTGATATATGGGAAAAACAGGCATATTTCTATACCCAATTTCATCATAAGAACATATAAAAAACCTAACATCAATTTTATCAACTGATATCTTCAAAACATAGTCAGCAGTAGAGTTCCATGGCTAGTATCCCATTCATTCAAATGTCCCTTATATAATCCAGGAAAGCATTGTTAAATACAACTACAGCATATTTTTCCATATATTTTTGTTTTATCCAGTTCCCTCTGTTGTACATTTCTAAATAATTTAAGAAACAATGTAATTACAAACTCATCTTTTTAATTGTTTATTTATGCTTCAGAAGAGTTCTTCAAGATTTCTTTAGGCCAAAGCCACCTTTTCATTGCTCTATTAAAGGCCCCTTTCACTTCCTTGTTCCTCAAAGTGTAGATCAGTGGGTTTAGTACTGGAGTGACCACAGTATACATGATGGCAGTGATCCGGTCCTGGTCCATGGAGGTCCCTGAGGCATGATGAATATAGGTGAAGAGAACAGGTGCATACAAAAGAATAACTACCATGAAGTGGGAGGCACAAGTGGACAGTGCTTTGCGGAGCATGCTAAAAGAATGAGTCTTGAAGAAGAGATGGGTGATAATGTAGAAATAGGAGAGTAATGTGAGAAAGAAGGGGCCCATGGCGATTGTCCCTGTGACAGTACTGAGCAGCCACTGATTAAGCTCAGCTTTAGCAATGGCTTCACATCACAGAAGAAGTGATAGATACGGTTAGAACCACAGAAGTTCAAGCGAGAGGTCATTAGGGAGTGCAGCAGGGCATGGAAAAAACCAATCATCCAGATTGTGATGGCCATCTGGGTACAGAGCTGAGGGTTCATAATGACAGTGTAGCGAAGTGGCTTGCAAATAGCCACAAAGCGGTCAAATGCCATCACGGCCAACAACATGGCCTCTGTGCTGCCCAGGAAGTGGAAGAAATGGAGTTGGCTTATGCATCCCAAGAAAGAAATTGCTTTGTGTGCAGAGAGGAAGTTCTGCAGCATTTTTGGCAGTGTTACGCTGGAGTAGCAGATGTCCAGGCAGGACAGGTTTCCCAGGAAGAAATACATAGGGGAATGGAGTCTAGGATCAGAGATGACAATCATCAGAATGGCTCCATTCCCAGCCACACTGATGAAGTAGATGGTAAGGAAAACAACGAAGAGAAAAGGCTGCAGTTCTTGAATGTCTGTCACTCCCAAAAGGAGAAATTCAGTGACTGAGGTTGTATTCAGCATTGCTTCAGACAAAAGACAAAATAATGTATGGAACACTAATCACAATCAGAATCCTTCCAGCTCAGAATTTTCTTACCAAGCCAAGAATATCTGGAGGGAGAGTATTGTTGTTTTGCATGATTCAACCTCACAAGTTTTACATTTTTGGCTTTTAGATGGCTAAATATTAAAGATATATATATATATATCTGTTATGATCTCTGACACAACTATTTTTTTATTATGTTTTTCATTAATATATTTCTTTCTCCCAGGAATCAGAAAACGTTGCTAGCCTACAGTCTTCTCTGGCTGTGAATATTTTCATTCTTTTTTTTTGAGATTCTCACTCTTTCTCCCAGGCTGAAGTGCAGTGGTGTGATCTTGGCTCACTGCAACCTCCGCCTCCTGGGTTCAAGAGAGTCTCTCGCCTCAGCTTCCCAAGTAACTGGGATTACAGGAGTCCACCACCACACCTGGCTAATTTTTGTATTTTTAATAGAGATGGGGTTTCACCGTGTATGCCAGGCTGGTCTTGAATTCCTGACCTCAAGTTATCTGCCTGCCTCGGCCTCCCAAAGTGCTGCGATTACAGGCATTAGCCACATCTCTGGGCCTGTGAATATCTTCATTCGGTCACAGCTTTCCTTTCATCTTCCCAAGCAGCTCTCACAGGGGGCAATTTTTAAGCATACCACATAGCTATCTCTTGGCCTAGTAAGAAACCACCAGTAGGATGTTAACTTAAATAAAAAGACAGGTTTCAATGCATCAAAACCACGATTTTTTTTTTAAATCTTGAAAGAGTAGTAGTAATTGCATTTCCTCATTTTAGAATGTAAATGAATTAGAGATATTCTCTTACTGATCTCTTCCTGACCCACATCCCTGAAATGTCGCAGTGACCTACTGGGGTAAGAAACATGACCACATTAATCACATATTAACCTGAATATTTAAAATTTCATCACTATTATATCTGATGATGAGCTCAGTTTCTTCCTATAATCTGACCCTTTATACATTTTTTGAAATAGAATCCCAAATTATTTTTTTCATTGCAAATGTTATTGTGCTTTTATTCACCAGTTGATCTTAGACTCTTTCTTTCCTAGGAAATCTGTGAATCCCTGGATAAGAATAGTATTTCCTCTGATAGATTCAGTAGTTTCTCTTCTTTTTTCACCAATACTAACCTCTCCTCAAAATATATATTCAGCCTTCTTGAAATTGTCTTCTCTTGTGATCTATTTTCTTAAGTTCTGTTTTTATTTTGCCTGAAATAAACTCACTCATCAGATATTAAGGAATATTCTACCTCAAGTGAAATTCACCTTCTTCTCTTCTAGATCCATTACATTTTCTAGAAAAATTTTTTCTCCATAATTTGCAAAGTACTGGTATTATCTTCATTAGGTTTACTAATAAAAGCAGACATAATATTGTGAAGTAGCTTCTTCTTTGTTCTTTTCATTAGGCTGTAATGGATTAGCTCTTGTATATTGGGAGGGAAGAAGTCAGGATGTGTGGGGAACTTACAGAAGTGAGAGGCACTGAGAGAGCTAGTAGAACTGTAAAGAAATTGAAAAGAGATGCTGACATTGGAGTGCTTCCTATAAAAGGAGTATCATTCAAGGTTTTAGAAACCACTGAGGAGAAAAGAATATAATTTGATGTGACTAGGGTAAAAAAAAATAATGAACAAGGGAACACTTCTAGAGAGCCCATGGGTTTTTTGGCTTCATAGCTGGGAAGAAGTTTTGAAAAACAATCTAACTTTTACTATACCTCCATGAAGGACTGCCTTCAAATAATTCACAATAACTTTCTTGAATGACCATGTATATTTTGTATATTTAAAAATTACCACTCCTGTTTAAAATACAAATTATATTTCAAATATAATTTTTGGTTCTTGGACCCAGAAAACAAAATTGTCCCAAAAATCCATATGGTAAAACATATATTCCTAGCTTCTGAGAAAATTAGCAGTCAGAGTGGTCTGTAGTAAATCGTTTCCTTCACTGAAATTTCACCATTTAGAAATCACATGTTTGCTTTGGATAATGTCTAGAGAACTAGATATGTTGAATTGAGAACAAGGTATGGCAATAAAAACATGGTAAGTCAAGGGCCTTCATATCTCACAAACACAATGAGGAGTCCACCATTAGATAGAAAATGAGATCTAGATACTGGGTGTTTAATACTAGCAAGTAGATAGATCATTCATTAACATATTGAGATTATGTGTAACTTCACAGCCTGTCTCCTAGTTCATTCTCTTACCTGATTGAGTGTTCTGATTCACAGTTAAGGAAGCTATTCATGTTTATATTCCCAGTGATTATAAAAGTTAAAACATATTTGAAGTAATAGTTCATGTTGGGATTGCAGCATAAACTCATCTTTAAAAACCTCTTTCTCTCTTTCTGAAAAATCAGTCTGCCTTTTAATGAGCCACAGGTCTCTAGACATAGAAATCCAAAGGGAGAGTGTCCCCTGGTGTTGAGAAAGATTTTAGGAATTAGCAGGATGCCTTTCCACACCTGTAATATGAATCAGTGGCCTTGGGGAATTCCTGTGTGAAGTTTCATTTGTTTTTTTCATTCTTGTTTTTTTTTTTTCCTTACTAAGTTTGTTCGTTAGTTTTAGAACTATGGCCAACACAGGTCTCAATGGCTTAATATGTTTTCTTAGTCAAATTTCTTTTTATTTCCTAGGACAGAGATATGGATTTACTTTCCCATTTTTGGGACTTTCCTGAAAGAATACCCTGGTATTTTTCAGGAAACCTGTTTTGGCTACTGTTGCTCTGTAGTATAGCTTGAAGTAGGGTAACATGATGCCTCCAAATTTGTTCTTTTTGCTTAGAATTGCTTGGCTATTCAGGTTCTTTTTTGGTTTCACATGAATTTTAAAGTGTTTTTCTAGAATAAACTAGTTTATTCTAGTATTCTAAACTTTAGTTTAGAAACTACCAAGAATGTCTTTGGTAGTTTGATAGAAATAGCATTGAATCTGTAAATTGCTTTGGGCAGTATGGCCATTTAAACAATATGATTCTTACTACCCATGAACAAGAAATCTGTTTCCATTTGTTTGTATTATCTCTGATTTCTCTGAGTAGTGTTTTGTAGTTCTTATTGTAGAGACCTTTCACCTGCCTTGTTAGCTGCATTTCTTGGTATTATATTCTTTCTTTGGCAATTGTGAATGGGATTGTGTTCCTGATTTGTCTCTCAGCTTGACTGTTGTTGCTGTATAGGAATGCTAGTGACTTTTGTACATTGATTTTGTATCCAGAAACTTTGCTGAAATAGTGTATCAGCTGAAGGAGCTTTTTGACCAAGACTATGGGGTTTTCTAGATATAGAATCATGTCATCTGCAAACAGGAATAGTTTTACTTACTCTCTTCCTATAATGCCCATTATTTCTTTCTCTTGCCTAATTGCTCTAGCCAGGACTTCCAATGCTATGTTGAATAGGAGTGCTGAGAGAGGACATCCTTGTCTTGTGCTGGTTTTCCAGAGGAATGCTTCCAGCTTTTGTCTATTCAGTATGATGTTGGCTTTGGATTTGTCATAAATGGCTCCTACTATTTTGAGGTATTTTCCTTAATACCTAGTTTATTGAGAATTTTTAATATGAAGCAATGTTGAACTTAATTGGAAGCCTCTTCTGTTATCTATTGAGATAATCATGTGAGTTTTGTTTTTAGTTCTGTTTATGTGATGAATCACATTTATTAATTTGCAAATGTTGAACCAACCTTGTATCCCAGGGATAAAGCCTACTTAATCATTTTGTATTAGCTTTTTGATGTGCTGCTGAATTCAGTTTGCTAGCATTTTGTTGAGAATTTTTGCATCTATGTTCATTAAGAATATTGGCCTGAAGTTTTCCTTTCATGTATGTGTTTCTTTCAGGTTTTTGTATCAGGATGATGCTGGCCTCATAGAATGAGTTGGGGAGGAGTCACTCCCCCTTTGTTTGGTAGGCTATTTATTACTGATTCAATTTCAGAGCTCGTTATTGGTTTCTTCACAGAATCAGTTTCTTCTTGGTTCAGACGTGGGAGGATGTATGTGTATAGAAATTTATCCATCTCATCGAGGTTTTCTAGTTCATGTGCATATGTGTTCATGATTCATCATGTCTCTGATGATTATTTGTATTGTTGTGGGGTCAATGGTAGCATCCCATTTGTCATTTCTGATTGTGTTTATTTGGATCATCTCTCTTTCCTTCTTTATTGATCTAGCTAGGAGTCTATTCATCTTATTAATTCTCCCAAAAAACAAACTCCTGGATTCGTTTATCTTTTGTATGGTTTTTCTCATCTCAATTTCTTTCAGATCAGCTCTAATTTTGGTTATTTCTTGTCTTCTGCTAGCTTTTGGGTTGGTTTTGTCTTCTGTCTCTAGTTCTTTTACTTATGATGTTAGGTTGTTAATTTGAGATCTTCGTATCTTTTTGATGTGGGCATTTAGTGCTACAAATTTCCCCCTTAATGCTGCCTTAGCTGTGCCCCAGAGATTCTGGTATGTTGTATCTTCATTCTCAATAGTTTCAAAGAACATTTTGATTTCTGCACTAATTTCAGTACTTACCTCAAATTCATTAAAGAGTAAGTTGTTTAATTTCCATGTAATTGCATGGATTGAGTGATTTTTTTAGTCTTGATTTCTATTTTTATTGAGCTGTTGTCCACCAATGTGTTTGGTATGATTTCAGTTCTTTTGCATTTGCTGAGGATTGTTTTATGTCCAATTGTGGGGTCTATTTTTAGAGTACGTGCCTGTGTTGATGAGAAGAATGCACATTCTGTTGTTTTGGGGTGGAGAGTTCTGAGGTCTATCAGATCTATTTGATCCAATGTTGAGTTCAATCTTTGTTTAAATCTTTGTTAATTTTCTGCCTTGATGATCTGTCTAGTACTGTCAGGGGAGTGTTGAAATACCCTACTGGAGACTCCCATTGTGTGGGCATCTAAGTCTCTTTGTAGGTCTCTAAGAACTTGCTTTATGAATCTGGATTCTCCTGCTGTGGGTGCATATATATTTAGGATATCTAGATCTTCCTGTTGAATTGAATCCTTTATCATTAGATAATGCCCTTCCTTGTCTTTTTTCGTTTTTGTTAGTTTAAAGTCTGTTTTTCTCTGAAATTAGAATTGCAACCTCTTCTTATTTCTGATTTTCATTTACTTGGCAGATTTTTTCCATCCCTTTATTTTGAGCCTATGGGTGTCATTGCATGTGAGATGGGTTTCCTGAAGACAGCATACAATTGGATTTTGCTTCTTTACCCAGCTTGCCACTCTGTGCCTTCTAATTGGGACATTTAGCCTGTTTACTTTCAATGTTTGTATTGATATATGTAGATTTAATCCTGTCTTTTTGTTGTTAGCTGGTTATTATGCCTGCTTGTTTGTCTGGTTGCTTTATAGTGTCACGGGTCTGTGTACTTAAATGTGTTTTTGTATTGGCTGGTAATGGTGTTTTCTTTTCATATTTAGTACTCCTTTCAAGATCTCTTGTAAGGTGGGTCTAGTAATACAATCCCTCAATGTTTACTTGTCTGAAAAGATCTTATTTCTCCTTCACAGAGAAAGCTTAGTTTGGCTGGATATAAAATTCTTGGTTAAAGAAATTTTTCTTTAAGAATATCGAATATAGACCTGCAATCTCTTCTGGCTTTCAACATTTCTGCTGAGAGGTCCACTGTTAGCCTCATACGGTTCCCTTTGTAGGTGACCTGCCCTTTCTCTCAAGCTGCCTTTTACATTCTTTCTTTCATTTTGTCCTGGAAAATAAGATGATTTTGTGTGTTGGGGATGATCTTCTTGTCTAGAATCTTGCAGAGGTTTTCTGTATTTCCTGCATTTGACTATTGGCCTCTCTAGCAAGATTGGGGAAGTTTTCATGGTTGATATCCTGAAATATGTTTTCCAAGTTGTTTGCTTTCTCCCCCTCTCTTGCAGGGATACCAGTGATTTGTAGATTTGGCCTCTTTACATAATCTCATATTTCACAGAGGTTTTGTTCATTCCTTTTCCTTTTATTCTTTATTTTTGTCTGACTCTCTTATTTCAGAGAGCCTGTCTTCAAATTCTCAGATTCTTTCCTCAGCTTTGTCTACTCTGCTATTAATATTTGTGATTGCATTGAAAAATTATTTTAGTGAGTTTTTCAGCTCTATCAGGTCAGTTAGGTTGTTTTTATACTGGCTGTTTTGTCTGTCACCTCTTGTATCGTTTTATTGTGATTCTTAGCTTCCTGGGATTGGGTTTTGCCATTCTCCTGAATCTCAATTATCTTCATTCCTATCCATATTCTGAATTCTATTTGTTATTTCAGCCATCTCAGTCTGCTTAAGAATTCTTGTTGAAGAACTAGAGTGATCATTTGGAGGACATAAGACACTCTGACCATTTGAGTTGCCAGAGTTCTTTTTTTTTTTTTCTCATCTCTGTGTGTGAGTGTTCCTTTAACTGCAGAACTGCCTCTGATTGAAGTGGTCAGGTGGCAGCTGGGTGATTGTGCTGGAGTCCCAGGTCATGTGGCCTTGCCCAGTGAGGAGAAGTGAGGATCAGGATCTGCATGGAGAACAGTTCAGCCACTTTTCTATGATGTGGATGCTCTGTGTTATGGGTCCCAACCAGCCCTTGGTCCCACAGACTCTCCAGGGCCTGGGGACACAAGGATGAAGACTGTGAGAAAGCAAAGATGACAACCCACCCCTTCCATTGGGAGCTTTGTCCCAGGGCATTGCAGAACTGCTACTGGCTCAATAGTCCCAGTGTAAGGGTGACTGGAGACTAGGCTGGGAGGATCTGCCCCAGGAGAAGATACAGGATTGGGGACCCACATAACATACAGTCTGACCACTTTTCCATAGAGCTGCTACCATATTCTGGGGATCTGCTCCAGTCCCTAGTCACTTCAGATTTTCCAGTACCTGATGGTATCAACAGTGAAGTTTGTCAAACAGCAAAGATGGCGGCCTGCGCCTCCCTCTGGGAGCTCTGCTCCAGGAAGGAATGGACCTGTTACCAGCCCAAACACACTGGCAGGGTTGGCTGGGGATCCCAGAAGTTCCCACTCAGTGAGGAAAAACAGGATCAGGAGGTGCATTAAAAAGCAGTCTGGCCACTTTTTCATAGAGCAGCTATGCTGTCTTTGGGGTCTACTCCAGCCCCCAGTTGCTTCCAGCTCTCCAAAGCCCAAAAGTGACAATGGCTAAGCCTGCAAAACAGTAAAGATGGAGGCCTACCCCTCCTCTGGGAGCTCTGCTAGGGAGGTTTGGGATTGCTACTGGCCGGAAAACACCAGCAGAAGTGGTTGTAGACCTCGGTCAGGGGATTCCTCCCAGTAAACAGAAATGGGATCTGAGACCCACATGGAAAAGTGGTCTGGCCATCTCTTTGTAGAGCTGCTATGTTGTGCTGGGGTACCACTCCAGTCCCTAGTCACCTCAGATTCCCCAGAGCCTGAAGGCACCAATGGTTAAGGCTATGAAACAGCAAAGAAGGCAGCCCAAGCCTCCCTCTGAGATCTCCATCTCAGGGAGGTATAATGTTGCTACCCATGGCAGCCTAGAGTTCAAAGCTATTGGGTCTTATCCTGTGATGTTCCATGGAAATGGGGCTTGCAGATAGTCATTGCTCAGCCCCGTGGATTTAGACCGTTTTCTAGGGGTATATATGGGGGGGGGTGTCTAACCTCCCAGTTTGCCAGAGTTGCAGTTACTTTTGCTGGGAAGCCTGGGTATCTAAAGCTCCTGTGGCTTCCAGTGTGCCTGAGTGGATGCTCTGACGAGACTCCACATAGCTTTGCATGTCAGACTGAAGGCCCTGGTGGAGTGAGTTCATGAGGGATCTCCTGACCTGAGGGTTGCAAAGTTCTGTGGGAAAAGTATGGGTTCCCAAGGTCGCTCACTCACTCACCACTTCTCTGGGCAGGGGAGGCTACCCTGGCTACATGTCATTCCCAAGTGGGTGGTTCTCCTGCCTTGCTTTTCTCTGTTCTCTGTGGGTTGGGTTGTTTTCTTGATGAATCCCAATGCACGTACCCAGTTCAGTTGAAGATACTGTATTTACTTGCCTCTTCTATTTTGCTCTGTGACAGCGGTGCACAATAGGTGCTTCTCGTTGGCCATCTTGGCCAGCCCTCAACTTCTTGTTATTTTATACACTGTGAATATAATACAAATGAATACTATTTATTGCATGCTTATTATGTGTAAGGTATTGTTCTAAGTTCTTTACATCTATTAGCTCTCTTAATTCTCACAAAAACCCAATGAAGTAAGTAATACAGTCATTTATCTTATATCACAAGAAAACTGAGGCTCAAAGGATTTAAGTAAATTTTTCTTCTTGTGATATATTGTGAAACCAGGACTCAAACTGAGGCTCCTTAGTTCTAGTGATCACTGTATTGTGCTCTTTCAAATATTATTCATCTTAATTTTATCTACAATTTTCTTAGTTGACTAGCCATTCGCTATTTTAATGAAGTCATGATCAGCAATTTTCTTCTTTATGTATTGTCTCTTTGTGATTGTACATATTATTTGTTTTAAATTTTCTTTTATTACAAAGGAAGCTTCATGGGCCTGCGACCCATGCAGTCACAAAGGACCCTGCACTCAGAAGGGCCCTATGTTTGATTTAATGCTTTGTGGTCACTGTCTTGAAACTCTTAGTAATTTTTTTTAACTTCCTTTTTTTTATTATTATACTTTAAGTTCTGGGGTACCTGTGCAGAACGTGCAGGTTTGTTACATAGGTATACATGTACCATGGTGGTTTGCTGCACCCATCAACCCGTCATCTACATTAGGTATTTCTCCTAATGCTACCCCTTCCCTACCCTCCCACCCCCTGACAGGCCCTGGGGTGTGATGTTCCCCTCCCTGTGTGCATGTGTTCTCACTGTTCAACTCCCACCTATGAGTGAGAACAAGCGGTTCTCTGTTTTGGTTTTCTGTTCTTGTGATAGTTTGCTGAGAATGATGCTTTCCAGTGTCATCCATGTCCCTGCAAAGGACATGAACTCATCCCTTTTTATGGCTGCATAGTATTCCATGGTGTATACGTGCCATATTTTCTTTATCCAGTTTATCATTGATGGGCATTTGGGTAGGTTCCAAGTCAATGCTATTGTGAACAGTGCTGCTATAGACATACATGTGTGTGTCTTTATAGTAGAATGATACATAATCCTTTGGGTATATACCCAGTAATGGGACTGCTGGGTCAAATGATATTTCTAGTTCTAGATCCTTGAGGAATCGCCACACTGTTTTCCACAATGGTTGAACTAATTTACGCTCCCACCAACAGTGTAAAAGTGTTCCTATTTCTCCATGTCCTTTCCAGCATCTGTTGTTTCCTGACTTTTTAATGATCACCATTCTAACTGGCGTGAGATGGTATCTCATTTTGGTTTTGATTTTCATTTCTCTAATGACCAGTGATAATGAGCTTTTTTTCATATGTTTGTTGGCTGCATAAATGTCTTCTTTTGAGAAGTTTCTGTTCATATCCTTTGCTCACTTTTTGATGGGGTTGCTTTTTTCTTGTAAATTTGTTTAAGTTCTTTGTAGATTCTAGATATTAGCCTTTTGTCAGATGGATAGATTGCAAAAATTTTCTCTCATTCTGTAGGTTGCCTGTTCACTCTGCTGATAGTTTTTTTTTGCTGTGCAGAAGTTCTTTAGTTTAATTAGATCCCATTTGTCTATTTTGGCTTTTGTTGCCATTGCTTTTGGTGTTTTAGTCATGAAGTCTTTGCCCAAGCCTATGACCTGAATGGTATTGCCTAGGTTTTCTTCTAGGGTTTCTATGGTTTTAGGTCTTATGTTTAAGTCTTTAATCCATCTTGAGTTAATTTTTGTATAAGGTGTAAGGAAGGGATCGTGTTTCAGCTTTCTACATCTGGCTAGCCAGTTTTCCCAACACCATTTATTAAATAGGGAATCATTTCCCCATTGCCTGTTTTTGTCAGGTTTGTCAAAGATCAGTTGGTTGTAGATGTGTGGTGTTATTTCTGAGGCCTCTGTTCTGTTCCGTTGGTCTATATATCTGTTTTGGTACCAGTATCATGCTGTTTTGGTTACTGTAGCCTTGTAGTATAGTTTGAAGTCAGGTAGTGTGATGCTTCCAGCTTTGTTCTTTCTGCTTAGGATTGTCTTGGCTATGCAGGCTCTTTTTTGGTTCCATTTGAAATTTAAAGTTGTTTTTTCTGATTCTGTGAAGAAAGTCAATGGTAGCTTGATGGGGATAGCATTGAATCTATAAATTACTTTGGGCAGTGTGGCCATTTTCACGATATTGATTATTCCTATGCATGAGCATGGAATGTTTTTCTGTTTGTTTGTGTCCTCTCTTATTTCCTTGAGCATTGGTTTGCAGTTCTCCTTGAAGAAGTCCTTCATATCACTTGTAAGTTGTATTCCTAGGTATTTTATTCTCTTTGTAGCAATTGTGAATGAGCGTTCACTCATGATGTGGCTCTCTGTTTGTCTGTTGTTGGTGTATAGGAATGCTTGCGATTTTTGCAAATTGATTTTGTATCCTGAGACTTTGCTGAAGTTGCTTATCAGCTTAAGGAGATTTTGGGCTGAGATGATGGGATTTTCTAAATATACGATCATGTCATCTGCAAACAGAGACAATTTGACTTCCTCTTTTCCTAATTGAATACTCTTTATTTCTTTCTCTTGCCTGATTGCAGGAAATACGTTGTGAACTTCCCAGCACATCTGTTAGAAAGGAGGTCCAGAAAAAGAGCACAAAGAGAATGGTCTGTATTTAAAGATGTAACAGCTGAGAAAGCACAGTGTAATTTTCAAGAAAATGACTGTAGCCATTCTGCTTGGGCTTACATCTATCATTGCTAATCACTGTCGGAAAAACTTTGGGCAAATGACTTAACATTTCTGTTCCTGTATTTCTTCATCTGTAAAATAAGAATAAAGGTTGTTACGATGATTAAATGAGCTAATATGTATAAAGTACTTAGAATAGGGTCTGACACATACAATGCACCATGTATGTTTTTGCTAGGTAAAAACAAATACATTAATCTTCAGACGGGACTATCAAAATGAGTCTCAAGTCAATGTGGTAGCTAGTCTAGACACATGGATGCCAAGTGAACCATGCCTCTCAGCATTGATGCCCTGTGTGGTTCATTTTTCTTGAACCTGGGCTGGCACAGTGACTTCACCAATAGAATGCAACAAAAATGATGTTCTGGAACTTCGAAGGTACGTTAAAAGAAACCTTACAACTTCTTAATAGATCTCCTGAAACAGTCACTCTTGGGATGCTCCCAAGAAACAAGAATGCATTTGCCATATCAATGGACAAAAACCATTTACCTGAAGCCCTGTTAACTTGTTCTAGCAATGATACCATGTCTGACATGACAGCTGTGATCAAGACTACTAGTCTGCAGCTATTCAGGATTTATCTGTTTTTTGCAAGTGATCTTTCAGTCTTTAGATATTTAAGGGGGCACTAATCTTGGCTATCCTTCCCAGGATGTGATATTGTTGTTAGTTTAATATCCTTGCCAGATGGGGCAGTTTCAAAGCTTCCAGTTGGCATTATCCAGTACGATAGCGCATTTCCCACTGGCCAAGGACTGATGTAGAGGCTTCTCTTACTGCCAAGTATATCAGTCCTAATCGTATAGCCAGTGACTGTGGGAACGACTATTGGATGTGCCTACAGTACTGGGTGACGTACTGTAAGCTAAACTTTAACATGACTCCATTCGTAATCTGGCTTCTGTATGCTCATTGTAACATTTGGGCCATGGTGATGCTTTGGCTCTTGGAGTATCGGTGTCAACTCAGACAACTGTACTTGAAATATTTGGGTATTCCCCCTTTCCCAGTGTGCAGTAATTTGCATAAATAATGTTAGCTCCCTCTCGGGAAAAACTATAGGTGTCTTTCCAGTAAATGCTTACCACAATGTTGAAGTTCACTTCTTTCTGGAGGACATGACTAAATGTTCAGGTAATAAGTTATGCACCTAAATATTAGCTTGCGTCTGTGAACTGAGCAGGAAATTAGGCCATTTTATTAGAGAGACCACCCTCAGTGTCCTGTTCCTCTACTCTTGCCTTCTTTTGATTGTAGTTTTTAAGCAGCAACCTCATCAGCTGTCCTGTAATTTCGTCTTTAGGGACACATGTTATATTAACCATCACCACAGCTTCCTGTAGGTCAAGACTACTTGGCTACCTTTTTGACTCACTGATGATTACAGCAATTGCCAACTACTAGCTTCCAGTGGTTCAATGCTACCATATATTTTTATTGCTGTAGGCCCCTTTTCTCCAGCAATTCAAACTCTGTGATTACTTCTGTAACCATTATCCCTGGTCTACAAAGAGTCACCACTGAATTTCTTAGTAATTCCAGAACGCCTCTGCCAGAGCATTCTGAATTGTGAATGGTGTGTCTCCTCTGAGTACTCTTGTGGAACATAATATTCTGGTGGCTTTTCTGACCTACATATAGTATATTCTTCCAATACCCCCACTTTCCTGAGTCTCTTTATTCCTTTCCATACCATCTGTCAGGGCAACTCAGTAATTTTAACTTTGATCATCATGGGCCAATGCCTTCCCTGTGCTTGTAAGAGCCACACTAGCAGCACATTTACTTAAGCCCCAGATTCCGTGTCTAAGAATTCAATGTCCCCTAGTTAATATATTCTCATTTATCCAGTTTAGTGTTCTAGTCCCTTGATCATGCACACTCAAAATTCAATCCCATGGTACTCCTGCTGGCACATTGTAACTACTATTTGCACTCCTGTCAGTTTAATCTCTTTTCTATTTTAACATCTCTAGCACAACCCTAATTAATTTATGGGGATTTAACTCTAATTGTTGGCCTGGCGGTCAAGAGAGACATCCACTATCTATAGTAATATGTAGTACAGTAGACATGTACTATCCACAGTAACAAAGAAGATAGAAAGGATATCTATTGAACCCAGATGTTGCTAAGGTGCTTACTAGGAAGAATGATTGTAGTAGTCAGGGTTCTTCTGAGAAACAGAGTCAACAGAATATTGATTGGATGATGGCCACCTACATTAGGGAGGATAATCTGCTTTACTCAATCTATCAATTCAAATGTTAGTCTCATCTAAAAACATCCTCACTGACACATCCAGAAAACTGCTCAATTAAATAAAGTGTGGACATCCTCAGTCAAGCTGACATAAAAACCATCAAAATAGTGAAAGTTCCAACAGATTCTTTTAGCTGACTATTACAAAATAGGGCAGACGTAAGATGAACTAAAAAACAAGGCATTCAATTTTCAATCAGTATTTAGAGGAAAACTAGATTCCAGGACTTCCTAGGATCAAAAAATTAAACTGTATATTAGTGCTAAATAGTCTAGATGGTAGAAGTTTCTCAAAGTAAGAAATGGCTTCAGGGCAAAGATCATATTCCAAGGTGCTGTTAGTGAAGTATGGTTTTTAGGTAAAGATCCCAAGGATGTGACTATAATACCCATTGTTGAAAGCTCAGAAAGATAATGGGGAAGCCTAGAATAGTTTCTAAAAATCTTAAGACAGGCCTCTTAAGCCCTCTATGTTAGACACAGAGGTCACTACGAGTCTTATGGACATGCCTTGTCAACATTTCCAGCTAGAGGCAAAAATGTTTCCAGAAATCTTATTTTAGCTTTATTGAGGTACAATTGACATAAAAAAATTATATGTCTTTAATGTATACATCGTGATGAGTTTGGGCATATGTACACATACTATCATCACCACAACCAGGGTAGTAAGCATATCCACCACCTCCAAAAATGTCCTCATGCTCTTTTGTGTTGTTTTTGTTTCTGTAAAAGCACTTATCATGAGATCTATAGTCTTGTTAACATATTTTAAAGTGCAAAATACTATTTTCTAGTTATAGGTAATATGTTGTACTGCAGATCTCTAGATCTTATTTATCTTGCATAACAGGAACTTTATACCATACCCACTGATAAACAATTCCCCATCTCCCCCTCTACACATTCCTTTACAATCACCATTCTATTTTGTATTTCTATGAGGTTGACTTAAGCATGGCCATGCAACATTTGTCCTTTTGAGACTGTCTTATTTTACTTATCATGATATCCTCTAGGTTTGTCCATATTGTAATAATTGGCAGGATCTCCTTCTTTTAAAGGTTAAATAATATTCATGTATATATTCATTTTCTTTATCCATTCATCTGCCAATGAATACTTGGGTTGTTTTTGTATTTTGTCTACTGTAAAAAATTTCAAAATAAACAGAGTGTTGCACATATTTCTTCAAGGCCCTGATTTCAATTCTCTTGGCTATACACCCAGAAGAGAAATTGCTGGATCAGATTGTAGATTTATTTTTAATTTTTAAAGGAATTTTCATACCATTTTGCATAGTGGCTGCAATTTCTATATTCAGTGTATAAGGGATCCAGTTTCTCCACATTCACACCAACACTTTTTTTTTTTATAATAACCATCCTAAAATATGTTAAGTGATATCTGACTATGGTTGCCTTTTTCTGATGGTTAGTGGTATTGAGTACGTTTTTATATACTTGTTGGCCATTTATATGTCTTCTTTAAAGAAATACCTATTCAATTATTTTGTCAATTTTAAGTTGTGTGTGTGTGTGTATATATTATTGAGTTGAGAAGATTATTATGTATTTTAGATATTAACCCCTATCAGATAGATGGTTTGAAATATTTTCTCCCGCTTCATAGGATGACTTTTCACTCTGTTGATCATTTCCTTTGTTGTGAAGAAGCTTTTTAGCTTTACATAGTCCTGCTTGTCTATTTTTTATTTTGTTGTTTCAAATCTAGAAAATCATTGTCAAGACCAACATCAAGAAGTTATCTCCTTATTCTTTTTCTTCTAGGAGTTTTACATTTAAATCTTTAATCCATTTTGAGTTGATTTTGTATATAGTATGAGATAGGGTCCAATTTCATTCTTCTCTATGTAGTTTATTCTACACCATCTATTGAAGGGACTATTCTTTCTCCATTGTGTGTTCTCAGCAATCTTGTCCAAGATCAGTTTACTATATATATGTGCATTTATTTCTGGACTCTCCATTCTGTTCTATTGGCTTGTATGTCTGTCTTTATCTCAGTACTATACTATTTTAATTAAATGGAAGGCATTCAAATTGAATATAAAATTAACATACAAAATCAATTGCATTCCTATACATTAACAATCTAGCTTTTCTGAGCTATCAGAAAAGGAAGAACCAAAACAATTTCATTTAAAATAGCATAAAAAAGAATAAAATGCTTAGCAATAAACTTAACCAAGGAAGTGAATGACTTGTACACTGGCAACTGTAAAAACATTGATGAAAGGAATTGAAGAAGACTCAAATAAATAGAAACATAACCTATGTTCAGGGCTTAGAAGAATTAAAATTGTAAAATGTCCACACTACCATAACTTGTCTATGAATTCAATGCAATCACTATCAAAATCCCAAAAGCATTTTTTACAGAAATGGAAAAAACTATTCAAGAAAGACCTCAAATAGCCCAAGTGATCTTCAGAAAGAATAGCAAAGCAGATGGTATCACTCTTCTTGACTTCCCAAGATGTTGCAAAGGTACAGTAAATAAAACAGTATTCTACTGGCATGAAGACAGACAGAGAGAAATCTCAAGGGTGTTGTCTCACAGTACACTAATTGTCAGCCCAAGTCAGAGAAAGGCCTGTCCTAAGGAGATGTATGAGTGTGGTACTTATCTAATTGACTAAACCCAAATAAGAATCCTAAGAACCTAAAATATTTTAAAAGGAATATTATTGGTGGGCCAGGCACAGTGACTCAGATCTGTAATCCCAGCACTTTGGGAGGCTCATGTGGGTGGATCACATGAAATCAGGGGTTTGAGGCCAGCCTGCGCAACACGGTGGAAACCCTGTCTCTATTAAAAGTACAAAATTTAGCCGGGCATGGTGGCACATGCCTGTAATCCCAACTACTTAGGAGGCTCAGTTGAGAGAATCACTTGAACCTGGGAGGTGGAGGTTGCAGTGAGCCGAGATTGCACCGTCCCACTGTACTCCAGTCTGGGTGACAGAGTGAGATCCGTGTAAAAAAAAAAAAAAAAAAAAAAAAAAAGAAGAAGAAGAAGAGAGAGAATTTTATTGGTATCATCAGTTTCAATTGCATCATCTTAGACTCTAGAGGACGGAGTGAGAAAAATGTCCCCAAATGGGTTTCACAATTGCTATGTAACTGTTATGTGCCTCCCATTTTTTCTCTTTTGGAGTAACATTTTCTATTACTGTCATCTTATATCTACTTTATCATTATGTGCTGAGTGTGTGACAGGAAGATAACCTGACTTCTTCAAGTTCAAAGGTCTTCAGGTCAAAAGGAACCATTCTTGAGGAATCATACTAAATATGCCCCATTTGCACTTTGTCATGATTTGGATTTTAAAAACCTAGACTTTGAGCTGATGCTATAAAGGGATGAGATTTTAAGATTATTAGGAAGAGGAGTAAGTGTACCTTGCATATGGGAACAACATGAATTATTAGTGGTTAGATATGGGACTGTGGTAGATTAAGGATGTCCACACAATTTTTGACACTCTTTCCATTGAAGGTTACAGAAGCTCAGTTGGCCTGCGATTTCTTTGGCCAATAGAGTATGATAGAAGTTATGTTAATGCTGGTTCTTGGTTTTTGTCTTTGAGACAACTAACAATTTTTGTCTTGGTTTGCTGTCCCCCATGAAAAAGTCTGTCCCGAGGCTTCCCTGTTAAAGAAGCACATGACAGTCAACTGAGAAACTGGAGAGAGAGAAAGAGAGAGAGAGAGAGAGAGAGAGAGAGAGAGCAGATCCAGATATCACTGAGCATAGTCAACCCTTTCCTGCTGTGCCCTCCCCAATTTCTGACCCACAGAATCCTGGGATTTGATTAAATAAATTAAGCCATTTAGATTTAGGCTACTATTTGTTATGCAGCAGTAGATAACTAGAACCCATGTGTTTTCCTACAGTTCACAGCTTCCATGTAGATGGGATTATGCAATAAACTCTGAGCAACAGAAGTGATAGTCTGAGATAGTTCAGGTGGATAGTGTCTTCTCCACACAGGCATTCTCTCATCAACAAAACTGGAACTGAAGGACCAAAGAAGGTTGACTTGGAAGATAGAAGAAGTACCAGAGAGAGGTCAGATCGTTTGGGTTTGCAAAAGTGAAGGCAGAGGTTTTGAATAGTCAGCCCACCCGCTCAACTTAGCTTCCATAGTCTTGTCTATTTGTATCTCTAAATAGTTACAAATGTTGGCATACCACATCTTTTCAGAGCCAGAATCCATTTCTAAGTACTTAGAAACTAAGAAACATCATACCTATTCTTGTCTATTAGCTCCAGAAATACTTCCACAGTTATGATTTCATTGTTTTCACTTAGTATGAGTTTGGTACCAAAGGAAAAGAAAAATAAATTTTCATGAATTTTTTGTATTTCACCTGTATTTCATCATATTACATGCATTACAGTCTGTCAAAATAAGGACAGATAAAGGAAAACGAAACCAAAATAATAGAGTGTTTAAAGTCATCATCTTTCATGACCAAGGGTGGAGAGATACGAGTGGTTATAACACTCTAATGAGATACAAAGTGATTCTTGAGGTGTTTTTTGTTTGTTTGTTTGTTTTACCTAGCTCCACTTTTAATGGTATTTCATAGTAATCCTTGAAGTCTGGCCAGTTGACTTCTAAAACATCTCTGAAGATATAGGTACCAGAACTCTTAGCTGAACAATTGGTTGTTTTATCTCTTAATTAGTGGTTGCAATGTCATTCAATTTAATTACTTATTAGCCTCTCTGGACCAAGTAAAAAGCATTTTTCATTTGTATTATAAAATGTAAAAATAAAATTGTCAACTTTTAGTAAAAGTTTGTTCCCTTTTTCCACTCTTTCCTATTCTTTTTGTGTCATAAAAGAAATGAAACATTCTAGTGTGTTTCAGTAGCTCATTCTCTCTGCAGCATGTCCTCTGTGTGAGATTCATTTTCTTTAGTTAAACGGTGGGTCTTTTAGGGCACCTTTCCTTTATTTTGTGCAGGACTTTCATAAATCTAACACCTGTAGAGCTTTTTTTGATTAAAATAATAAACAACACAATTGATTAATTTTTCACATGAATAACTGTTGGTGTAGTAAGAGGAAAGTTTTAAGTATTTTATGCTGAAGTAGGGGAAAACACTTCATGTTGCCTGTGTGCCAGCTAACAATGACAAGAATTGCTGTAATCTTAGCTTTTCCTTTCTCCCAGTTGCCATCTTGCTTGGGCTTCAAATAGTCTGAAAACTTTCTATAACAATGGCAGAATTATGCAGACTTCCATGTTATGGAAAGTGTCTTTAGGATGTCATTTTTTACATAACCAGGCTGTAAAAGTAGAATATTTTCAGGGAAGCATCTACAAAATAAGTCATTGGCATTATTCATATTCAATGTAGTGTAAAATCTAAACACTTTTACATTGCAAGTGGTGATGAAATTTTTTATAACCTCTGGGGAGGGCAATTTGGCAGTATCTATCTGAATTACAATAACGATATCTCTTGACCTAACATTTCCATGTCTGGAAGTTTGTCCTACAAATAGACTTGCACATATATAGAATGACGTGTACACAAGATTATACACTGCAACATATGATTGGAAATAACATAGATGTCCAATGATAGGAGACTGATCTATCAAATATAATACATGAACAAAGTGGCATATACCATGCATGTTAAAAAAATAAAGAAGCTCTATGTTCTAATAGGGAAAGATCTCCAAGATACACATTGCCCTCAACATTGGTTTGCTCATATAACATGTATTGTTCATTGCCATTCTTTTTTAAAGAAAATATTTGTATTTGACTGTGTAGCATAAAGGATCTCTGTGAGGACAGATAACAACTGATTAAATTGATTGTATATGAAGAGTAAGTCAGTGACGGAGGGCAGAGATGGGGAGAAACATTTGACATCTTTCTATGTCTTTTGCATTTTGAATCACCATTAAAAGAACAAAAACCAACCGAACTGAAAAGAAATCATGACATACCTCTTTAAAATTTATTTAAATAATATGCAAGTTAGCATTTACTTTTCCAATTGAATAAACATAGCCCTACATGACAATCCTTAAAATAAAAAAGCATAATAATTTTATTGATCAGACTAAAATGTGTTAAACTAAAAGGATCTCACAGACAAACAGTCCTAAATATCATCTATCTATACAATACATGGGCAATATAGGCAAAATTCTACATGCAATTGCATACAAGTACATGTTAGAATACATAATAAGTCAATTACATCAACTGATATTCCAAAAAATTTTCAGCATTAGGGTTCCATGGCTAGTGTCTTGCATTTTCAAGTATTCCTCATATTACTTAGAAATGTATTGTTTACTACAACTAGATTGGACTTTTTTTTCTTTTATCCAGTTGCCTCTATTTTACACTTATAAACCATCTGAGAAGCAGTAAAATTACACATCTCTACTTTTTCATTGCTGGTTATTTATGCCTCAGTAGAGTTCTCTGGTTTATTCAAATCAAAGCCTTCTGATCACTCTACCCAAGGCCCCCTTCACTTCCTTGTTCCTCAAAGTATAGATCAGTGGGTTTAGTACAGGAGTGACCACAGTGTACATGATGGCAACAATCCGGTCCTGGTCCATGAAGCTCTCTAACGCAGGATGGATATAGGTGAAAAGAACAGGTGCATAGAAAAGAATAACTACCATGAAGTGGGAGGCACAAGTGGACAGTGCTTTACAGAGCATGCTACAAGAACGGGTCTTGAAGAAGAGATAAGTGATAATGTAGAAATAGGAGAGAAGTGTCAGAAAGAAGGGGCCCATGGCAATTGTCCCCGTGACAGTACTGAGTAGCCACTGATTAAGCTCAGTGTTCCCACAGGCCAGCTTTAGCAATGGCTTAATATCACAGAGAAAATGATGGATACGGTTGGAACCACAGAAGTTCAAGCGAGAAGTCATTACGGAGTGCAGCAGGGCATGGAAAAAACCAATGACCCAGATTGTGATGGCCATCTGGGTACAGAGCTGAGGGTTCATGATGACAGTGTAGCGAAGTGGCTTGCAGATAGCCACAGAGAGGTCAAATGCCATCACGGCGAACAACATGGACTCCGTGCTGCCCAGGAAGTGGAAGAAATGAAGCTGGCTTATGCATCCCAAGAAAGAAATTGCTTTGTGTGTAGAGAGAAAGTTCTGCAGCATTTTTGGCAGTGTCACCGTAGAGTAACAGATATCCAGGTAGGACAGGTTTCCCAGGAAGAAATACATAAGGGAATGGAGTCTAGGATCGGAGATGACAATCATCAGAACGGCTCCATTCCCAGTCACACTGATGAAGTAGATGGTGAGGAAAACCACGAAGAGAAAAGGCTGCAGTTCTTGAATGTCTGTCACTCCCAAGAGGAGAAATTCGGTGACTGAGGTTGTATTCAGCATCACTTCAGACAAAAGACAAAATAATCTATGGAACACTAATCGCAATCAGAATCCTTCCGGCTCAGAATTTTCTCACCAAGCCAAAGATACTTGGAAGGAGAGTACTGTTGTACTTCTTCCAAACCTCAGAAGTTGTATAGAAGCTTAGCTGTTGGTCTCTTCAATATTAAGGATTCATGCATATTATGGACTATGACTTAACCACTTTTTAAAATTAAGTTTATCATTAACGTATTTCTTTCTTCTGGGGATTTAGAACATGTTGCTAACTTACATCTTCTCTGGTTGAGAAGAATACATCCGTATTCTGTTACAACTTTCCTTTCCTATCCCAAGTCAGCGTTAATAGGGGGCAGTTTTTAAGTGCACCACCACTTGGATATCTCTTGACCCAGGAAAATGGCTCCTGAAATTTTTTGACTTAAGAGAGGAAGATAAAAATGAACTCATTATAATCACAAAGTCTTTAAAGAGATATAAAAACCTCTTTAAAATAGTAGTAATTATTTTGTTCTCATCTTAGAACGTAGATGAGGCTGGAGATGTTCTCTTACTGATCTCTTTCTAACCCACATCTCTGGCAATGTCATGGAGCTCTACTGGGAAAGGAAAAAATAATACATCAATCAAATATTAGCCTGAGGTATATTTGAAGTTTTATCACTGCTATATCAGATAATGTGCTTAGTTTCTTCTACCTAAGCCTTTAAATTTTTTCAAAGTAAATCCCAAATTACTTACTTGATGACAAATGTTATTGTTCCTTTAGTTTCCAGTTGCACTGAGACTTTTTCCTTTTTCACACCCCTGAATCTCTGAATAAGAAAAACTCTTCCAATAGACTCAACAATTCTTCCTTCATTTTACCCAATAGTGTCTTCTTCTAAAGTATCTAAGAATTTAGACCACTGAAAGTTCTGTCTTCTCTTGTGATGCATTTTCTTAAGTCTTATTTTTATTTTGCCTGAAATAAGCTCACTTTTTAGATGTGAAGAAACATTGTATCCAAGTGAATTTTCTCTTTTCTTCTAGTTTCATCAATGTGACACTGACAGTCAGGTTCTCCTCCATCAACCCAGAGGTCTGTTGGCTTCATACCAGTTCTCTCCAAAGTTGCCACACATTTCTAGCCTTTTTCATTTGTAAAATGTGTTTTCTCTATTTGCCCCTTCTTTCCATCAGATAAAATTTCCATTTTCTATGAAAGAAATGTATTCATTTTTCTTTCTTTTGCAGAATTGAAATAATAGAATTTTTTCAGTAACTGTTAAAACACATGAGGGATTATAAGTAAGATAATTATAATGAGGTTTAATATTTGACTAAATTTATACTGTTTACTGAAAGGCAGAAATATATTTTGAAGGTTTTTTCTAACATTATTTGCAAAGTACTTGGGATTATCTTCTATAGGTGCACTGACAAAAGCAGACATAATTTTGTGAAATAGCTTCCTGTTTGTTCCTTTCTTGTACAAATGTAGTGGATTAACTTTTGCATATTAGGAGAAAAGAAGCAAGAATGTGTGGGAAATCCATAGAAATGGCAGGCACTTAGAAAAGAATAAGAACCAATAGGAAATCAGAAGAAAGATGCAGACATTAGAGTGTTTCCTATAAATGGGGAATAATTCGAGGTTGAAAAATTGCTGATGAGAGAAGAAAAGGATTTGGTGTGACTAAAGTTAAAAAAAATAATGAACTAGGAAACATCTCTAGGGAGCCCATAGGATATTTGGCTTTACAGCTAGAGGAAATTTTGAGAGATTATCTAACCTTTACCACACCTCCATGAAGGACTGCCTCCAAACAATTTAAAGTAGCTTTATTTGATAGCCATGTATGTTGCATATTTTTCAAAACTTTTACCATGTCTTTTAAAAGTACAAATGATAGATAAAATATTATTTTTGGTTCTCTGACCCATAAAATAAAATTGTATCAAAAATCTATTTGGTAAAAAGAAAATTTAAAAAATAATAAATAATAAAACAACATTTTCCTAACGTTTAAAGAATGTTGTTTAGCCAACTTCTCTGTACGAAAATATTTCTTTCACTGCAATTTCAATATTTAGGGATTTCAGATTTGCTTTAGCGAATATCTAGAGAGCCAGGCATGTTGAATAGAGAAGGAGATATGGCAATAAAAGTGCGGAAAACAAAATGCTTTCATAATCTACAACTACAATGAAGACTCCATCATAAAAATAGGAAACCAGCTCTAAATCCTGGGCATCTAACTTTAATACTCGCAAGCAGTCAGGTCACTCATTAACAGATAAAAAATACGAGCAGCTTCCCAACCTGTCTCCTATTCTATTCTCTCACCCGGATTGAGAGTTCAGAATCACAGGTAAAAGAGCTTTTCAGATTTATACTCCCAGTGATTATAAATAGAAAAATATTTGAAGTGATGGTTGATGTTGGGATTGCAGCATAAATTATCTTCAAAAATCTTTTCCTCTCTGAAAATCTGCCTGCCTTCCAATGAGCTGCAGATCTCTAGACATAAAAACCTGAGAGAAACTGTCCCCTGGGTGCTGAGAAGGATTGTCGTGAGAATAAACAGGAGGTCTCTCTGCACCTGCAGCATAAGGGGATAGCCATATGGAATTTCTCTGTAGAATTCCACTTTTCTGTTGTTGTCGTTCTTCTTATCTTTTTTTCTTAATATGTTTGTTCCTTGGTTTCATAACCATGGACAAGACAGTTTTCAATAGCTTAATATATTTGCTGGATTTTTTCTTTAAAATAGTAACCCAATATTTTATTTGACCTTTCACAATACTGTTTTTTAAAATATTTATTTGTTTATTTAAAATACTTTTTCCTAGTCAAATTTCCTTTCATTTCCTATGGTAGAGGTTCAGATTCACTTTCTCTTCTTGAGGGCTCCCTTGGAAAATATTTTGGTATATAAAGTGAAAGAAAATTGGCAATAAAAATTAATAAATATGGTCACCCACATTCCATTGATCAGTACAGAAAGATGATTATCTTTAATATTCTACTGTGGTTCTATGAAAACCAAAGAAAGAGACATAAAGAGAAATAGTATTACTTTTGTACCTTCTACATCTTACTCTTCACTGTTGCTAATAATACTAAATTATTTTAAATAATTAATTTTGGGGTCCAAAAGCTCACATTTTTCTCTGTTTGGGATAAGGATTTTGGTCTTACCAATGTGTAGCATTACTTTTTGCTATTTTTTAGGTAAGAAAATTCTGTCTGAATTACACCAGGGTATCTATGCGTGACCTTCCATCAATCCAAGGATTCTACTAACAGTTGTAACTATGATGTATTTTTTCCATCTTTCTATTGAGTTTCCATTTTTGTTGCTTGGCAAAAGTTTATTATATATATTTATCACAATAATATCTTATTTTAATTTTTTAATTTTGTTTTTTTTTTTAAATCTTTAATTTTTTTTCTTGTTTTGAGTCAGAGTCTTGCTCTGTCATCCAGGCTGGAGTGCAGTGATGCAATCATAACTCACTGCAGCCTCTAATTCCTGGTCTCAAGCAATCCACCAATATCATCCCCCCAAAATTTTGGGATTATAGGTATGAGCCATTCCACATACAAATAATTCCTTATTTTATATACTGCTAATATATTATAAATAAATAACATTTATTGCATGCTCATTATGTATAAGTTATTGTTCTGAGTTCTTCACATATATTAGCTCATTTAATTCTCACAAAAACCCAATGTAAAAGTATTAAAATTATTCCTTTACTACAAGAAAACCAAGGCTCAAAGGATTTAAGTAAAGTTTCCTTTTCCTTGCAATGGATTGTGAAACTAGGATTCAAAATAAGGCTCTTTAGTTTTAGGGATCACTGCAATGTAATTTCCATTTTTTCAAAATGTCCCCCACTTCAATTTTATCATTTTTTATCTTGCATTGAAACTTAAAGATTATGTAACTGGTTCTGTTAATTAGATTTAGAGTTTTATATTTGTCATTTAGGACTCTAGTCTTCTAGAGGTTATATTTACATATCCTGTGAGATAATCAGCTAGTCTTGGTTCTGGTTGTCTCTATGTAGACCGACTAACCATTCCTTCTTCATCGATTTGTGAGGCCATCTTTATACTATTCCAAGTTCCCCTCAATACATGGTTTGTTTCTCCACTTACTATTTTTTCCATTGAATAAGCTGTAATTTAAGTAATATGATGTTATTGTAGGTCTTAATATCTCATAAGTTAGGAAAAATCATTACTTCTTTTTTTTCCCCAAAATACCTCCAAGTTGGCTGAGTGCAGTGGCTCACGCCTGTAATCCCGGCACTTTGGGAGGCCGAGGCAGGTGGATCACTTGAGGTCAGGAGTTCCAGACCAGCCTGGCCAGCATGGTGAAACTCCATCTCTACTAAAAATACATAAATTAGCTGGGCATGGGGGTGTACGCCTGTAATCCCAGCTACTCAGGAGGCTGAGGCAGGAGAATTGCTTGAACCTGGGAGGCAGAGATTGCCACTGTATTCCAGCCTGGGTGACAGCGTGAGACGCCATAAAACAAAACAAAACAAAACAAAACAAAACAAAACAAAACACCCTCAAAGTCTTTTGACAGCTTTTTTTCCCAAGTAATTTCAATGTTATAGAAAGTTTGCTTACGGGGAAAGGCCTAGGGCCAACTCAAAACAGGCCCCTTGAATGGAGCTGGAGAGGCTCCAACATGGCTGACTTGATACATCTGGTACTTGGCCCTTCCATGTAAAGTAACCAAAATAACCAGTCAATAATCACACGTTGAATAGATCATCTAAGAGAGAACACCGAAAGTCAGCAGAGAAGTGACCAGGAAGCACCAAAAGCAAAGGAGAAGGAAATGAGACCGCCTGTTCAACCAAGATCGGATATGAGTCTCGAGCGGCTCTCCAATGTGGGAAAAGGGAAAGGGGGAGACTCCCAGCAGCCCACATTTCACCACAGATACCTACAATTCTAGCCACAGGAGATCCCCTCAACCATCGTAGCCCCTGAGACTAACATAGGGAGCTGCCTGGAGACCACGTGAAGGCGCTACCCAAGAAAGAACCTCACACTGGGTCCCACGAACCCTAAGTCCTAACTAACTGCAGCACGGCACCATTTTGACAGCACAGATCCCAACGCACTGCATCTTACTCTGCTTCTGAGACCGAGGCAAGAGCCCTAGGGAGTAATCCCACCTCCCGTTACCCCGACCAGAGGGACAACGACACATTTTTACTTGCCCTGAGGACAAATTTCACTGCCTGCAACTGCTGCCATGATGAACTACTGTGGGGCAGAGGCATGAGCAAAGCCCATGCCTCCCCAGTTTCTTGCCTATGGTTGTTCCCAGGAAAAGCAACCCAGTCCTCCCCAGTCCATGACCACAAAACAGCCACTACCACTCCTATCTGAGCATTCCATCTGTGGCCTGGGGATCCCCCTGCCCCTGCCTACCATAGCCAGTGCCTCATACACCACCAAGGAGCCCATGGGAAGGTCTACTCAGCCTGGCTTCACCCACCCACAGAATCTGAGCACACCGTACAGGGGCCCGAGGGTCACTTAGCCCAGTCCATCACTGGTAGCTCCTCAGCACCCCTCCTGGGATCTGAGGTCAGCCCCACTCAACCTTCCCCTGGCACCACAGCTGACATCCACACTCATGTGCCTCCTGTGGATCTGGGAACTGACCTGCCCAACCTGTCACAGCCATTGCCAATATCAGCATGGACTACACGGGTCCCAGAGGGCTGTCCCACCACTGCTACTGCCATCACCCACACCACATCCACTGCCAAAGGGCTCAAGAATTCAACTTCATACCTGAACTACTGATGCCATTCCCAGAAGCCAAGCAAGCCACTTGGAAGCACAAGAACTGTCTTGCCTAAACCCGCTAACATTGGTGCCAGTGTATGCTGCCCTGGGGCCCAAGGACACACATGCTCATCCCACTGATTCTACCAATGGAAGCCGAAGACTGGCCCAACTGGCATCTCAGTTCTTAGCAAGACTTCAGCACAGCCTCCACTAACAACCATATCCTAAGCCACCAAAGAAATCACAGACACCACTGACACTGTTTACAGATGAAGAAATCATACAGAGACTGCACTATTGTACACACCCAGAATCAAAACCAGAGAACCCTACCCAAACTACACCTTAGATACATCTTCTGGAAAAAGTCCTCCCCATGAGAGCAAATTCAAAAAATTTAAAAAAGTAACTGTTATACTAGATATGCAGATATCAACATAAGGACACAATAATTCTCCAGCAACAGATCCCAATAAAAAAGAAATGTCAACAATCCCAGGCAGAGTATTCAAAATTTTGATACTAAAACAGCTCAGTGAGATACCAGACAGTATTTAAAAATTATACAAAGAAATCAGGAAAACAATTTAGGTTATGAATAAGAACTGTACCAAAGATACAGATATCAGGAAAAAAAACCCCACCTAGTTCTCTATCCCTTTTTTCTATCTTTGATTCCACTCACAAATATGCTTGCTTTTAATCATTCTCTAGGATGTTTAGTTTTTGTTTTATTTATTTTGCATTTTATTCCTCTAAGGAGCTTTCATGGCCATATTGGCAGCATAACTCTCCATTGTATGGGACTTTGAAGGGGAATAGGCCAATTTGTTGAAAACTAAATTGTCTAAGACCCAGTTTCCTAAGAGCTATTTCAGTGAGTCTCATCCTACAACTAATCTGTGTGTTAACATGACTTGTCTTTGACACTTACCCTAAAGTAACAGCGATAGTTGAAATTAAAACTTTGGAGATATTTCTAGTAAATCATAAAATTGATTTTATTGGTTGTTCATGAATTAACATAGGGCTCAGGAAATTTACCATTTCTTTATTCACAGTAAGAAAGAACATTGATCATAATAGTACAAATAATGACTTTAGTTAGATGTTTTTAATTATTTCAATGGGCTCCATACATAAAGTTGTCTCTTCCAAGAATCTATATAAACACTAATCCCTAAAAGTATGTTAACCAAATTTATCTCCACTGTTTAGTCTTCCCTGTTTGATCATAATTTGCTTAAATCTTTCCATTTCAATATCTGTAGACCTCAGTTTATAATTAATCATTTTTAGTTTTCATTATATTGTTCTAAGTGATATTACTTTTCAGATTCATTAGATGTTAGATTTCTCAAGGATAGGAGCTGTGTCTTCTCTTTCTTTTATATTATCATCACTCTTTTTTTCTTATGACTAATGAAGGGCTCTGCCAAAAATTTATTATTATTACTTAAATCAATGTAGTGATCTCATAAGCACATCAAAGAAGGAATAAACTGATACACAGGGGAAGAGAAATATAAAGAGAATAAGTCCTTGGAGAGAAAATCCCAAAGTGTTAATGCTCAAGATGCTACTGGGAAGGTTTACTGAGAAGATTTAGCCTGTTCATTTTCTGTCCATAATAAGACATGAGATTTGCTTAGATTCCATGTAAGTTGTTTTCAATAAGGGTGTTTATAATAGGTTTTGAGCAGTCAGAACTTTCTCTGATAACTTTATTCAAGGACACAATAAATACATCTGATCTATGATATTTGGATAACTCTTTTGACACAAAAATTATATTTATACTAAGATACGTGCAAAGGAATGTGCAGAGCAAATTGGCTTAGACTAAATAGAAAAATGATATTATGATAGTAGAGAAAAACTCTTGATGAAAAGAGGTTGAGATCACTGGAATGAGTGGGTTAGAGTGATGGAGGAACCTCTTTGAATATAGGCTATGAAGATTACAGGATGCAACAGGTGGGCTCATTACATAAAACATTTATGAGGGAAGCTTCAAATTTCCTGATCTATTTACTTATGCTTTTTTTGGACTTTTTTTGGTTTCAGGGCAGCAGACTCTATGATCAAGTATAGATGTATGTTATAGTTAAGTGTCTGAGTGTGTACGACTGTTTAATGGAGATAGTGGTAGTGTGTGTATATTTGTGTTACAAAGAGACGAAATAAAGGGAAAAGGAAGTGAGGGAGAAGTAAAAAAAAATAGGTGAGTAACCTTTTAGTATCTATCACAATCAGTTTTCATAAAAGTAGCAGATTCCAATTCGTGTTAGATAATATATTAGATTGTATTTAATGTTAGATAATTATATAACTTTGCAGTAGTATTATTTTTAGTAGAAGAGGGATGGTGTTAATTATTTAGGAAAAAATAATTTCGAAACTGTTGTATAAAGTATTTACTTATGTAGTTTCACAAGCGTACATCCCAAACCCTTAATTATATGCATCCGTTACAATGTCCTTCAGCTATGTTTATGATTCCTGAAATTAATTCTCTTCTCTCCACTATCAATAATTTCACTTTGAACATTTATTCTGTATCTATACCCACGGAATACAGCTCCTAGGTTTTTGTGTCAATTCACCAATCTTATAATTAAATATTCAATACTACTTACTGATGCTAATTAATCAATAAGAATTATTAATGCCATTGAGAGCAGGTCATGCCAAAAATGAATTGTGGAAAAACCTGTACCTATTGGCTAAAAACCATTACTTTTTCTACAAATATACATGTTTATGTTCTGTGTTGCCATGTCCTTTGATAAAAATGGAGGAATCTTCATTTTTTGATTTGTTAATGTAATTGTTATTGGTGTTGTTTATAAAAGAAATTTTGGTAGAAGAGTGAGGGTAAAATTTTAATTGGTATAGGTGTAGGAGGGAATGGAAAGAGGATTGCAAACAGCTGGTATAGGCAAATGTTTACAGAATTTAATTGTAAAGGGGAACACAGAAATGGAATGGAGGTAGAAAGGTAGTACAGGAGAGGAAAATTTTCATGATTTAAGACAGAGATGAGAAAATAACTGGAGCAGTGTTCTTAGAAGATGAGAGAGAATGGGTTCTTGGACACAGGTGGAAGAGGTGGTCTTCATCAGGAGTATCAATTATGAAACCATTAGAAACAGAGTGAATGCACAGTATATGAACACAGTTACAAAACTGTGGGTAGATACTAGGATGAAACTTGGAGATACTCTCTTCTGACTGCCTTTACTTTTCCAAAATAAAAGAAACAATGTCACTCTCCGAGAGAGAGGATGAGAGAGAAGAGTTAGAGGTATGGGCTGTAAAGAGAAAGGGAAATATGTAATTGATTGGCATCTCTAAGATTTCAGGGTTTTTTTTTATTGCTCATGATCCTTGTGGTCATGCATTGGTGTCTGTGCATCTGAAGAAATAGGCATATATTCCAGTCTTTACAGACTGTTTCGGCAGGGAACGCCCTTCATGCATCAGCCTATCCAGAGATTCTGGGCAGGTCATATGGCGTGGTCTGGAAGTAGGTTTGTTCCTGGAGTCCTGGGCAGGATGGCTTAGTGCTTGGGTCATCAGGTGGGTGGGCCTGGTGGCTGAGTCAATGGCATTCCCAAGATTTCAATGCAGTTGAGTATTAATGAATTTAGATCTAGGCAAGTGAGCACAGGTGCATTTTCCTCCAATCGTGTTCAGCTGCAAATGTTTAGATGCGGAGTAAGTAGAGAGTGGTTTGACTTTTTCCAGGTAAAGACATGAAGCACAAATTGGTCAAGGGATGTAAGGATATATGCTACTATAAAGTGACTATAAATATGCATATGGAACTTAAGATGAGTAAGGAGGAGTGTGAGTACATGAGAGTAGTAAAGAACATGAAATAGAATAACTGTAATTTAGGGGATAAAGATTATAGGATTTGTGGTATTGCAGAGAGTAAATTATGAATTTACCTGGTGGTAGTTGGAGTCTAGGATGCTTATTACTGAGATCATGAAGGGTTGAAGTTATTAATGACTAGTGAGTAATGAGTAATAAATCTAGAGTTTAATGATAGGAGAAAGTAGCTGAAGAAGGATAATAATGATTATCAGACAAATGGAAGTACAGAAACCTATAGAAGGGTATCATAATAGGGTCTAACTTAATTTGAGATAGGCTGAAACCCAAAGGATAAATAGATATTTTCTTACATTAAAGGACGGGAGGCCAGGCACAGTGGCTTACGCCTGTAATCCCGGCACTTTGGGAGGCCGAGAAGGGCAGATCACAAGGTCAGGAGATCGAGACCATCCTGGCTAACATGGTGAAACCCCGTCTCTACTAAAAACACAAAAAATTAGCCGGGCGTGGTGGTGGGCGCCTGTAGTCCCAGCTACTCAGGAGGCTGAGGCAGGAGAATGGCGTGAACCGGGAAGGCGGAGCTTGCAGTGAGCCAAGATCGCACCACTGCACTCCAGCCTGGGCGATAGAGCAAGACTCTGTCTCAAAAAAAAAAAAAAAAAAAAAAAAAAAAAAGGGACAGGGGAAGTAAAGAGTGATCCAGGGAGGACAAGCATGAATGAAGTCCCTGTCAAGGGACACCTTGATATATTTGAGGAATTGGAAGATATCCAGTAGGATCACATCCAAGTAATATAAAAGGTGAGACTGAAGAGATAAGCCACAGACATTCATGGAGGGTTTGTAAGCTTGTCCAGTTGGAAGGTACTGAAATGTTTCACATAGAAATTTATACTGTAACGCAGGCCTTTAAACAATCATTCTGGTTACACTATGAAGATGGCTTGAGAGTAGGGGAAGAAAAGAACTGTAGGGCTGCTTTGAAGTAGTTAAGTTTAAAGGCAATCATGACTTGGGCCAGGATAGCGGCAGTGTGGATAAAGAGACGTGAATTTGAGGGATGTTTCAGAGACTTGATGACTGACTTAAAGAGAGTGGATTGAAGCGAAGGAGAAATCAATGTGGTTCTCACATTTCTGGTTTGAACAACTAGATGGTTTTTATTCTGTTCACTACGTTGAAACACTGTGAGAGCATGCTTGGAAAGAGGATGCGTTCTGTTTGACGTGTTGATTTTTGTAATTCAGTAAAGAATTCAACCATCCCTCCATTGAAGGACATTTGGGCTACTTCCAGTTTTGGGTTGTTATGAATAAAGATTCTATGAATATATGAATACAAGCTTTTGTGTGAATTCAAGTGGAGAGTCAAATATGAAATTAGGTAAGTCTAGAACTCAGAGTGGGGGTTAGACAAGAGATCTCCCTCTTAGAAGCTATATAGCCAGAATAAATTTTATACTTGGAAGACATGTAGTTATGATATCAAAGTCACTAGTTCAAAGTCACTTAAAGATATTACTATTTGTCTTTCTTTCAATATTATGTTCATTTTTTCTTGGAATTTATTTCATATTTACTAATTATTATATTAGAATAACAGTCATTTGTAAGAGTACATGGATAGCCAGAATAAGTGACCAATTTTATTCTATAGATTATTTTTCTACACCATTGTTCTGTTTTTCTACATGGTATAGGAACTGTAAGAATATGAAGAATAAGATACTTTCAGTTTCTTTCACCTCTAATAATCTGATATTCCAATGAGTAGACAGACATGCAAAATTCTACCTATAAGAATAAATGGTGGCCAGGCATGGTGGCTTACACCTGTGATCCTAACACTTTGGGAGGCCGAGGTGGGCAGATCACTTGAGATCAGGCACTAGAAACCAGGCTGGCCAACGTGGTAAAACCTTGTCTCTACTAAAATACAAAAATTAGCACAGTGTGGTGATGCGTACCTGTAATCCCAGCTATCTGGGAGGTTGAAGCCTGAGAATTGCTTGAACCCAGGAGACAGAGGTTGCAGTGAGCCAAGATTGCATGACTGTACTCCAGCCTAGGTGACAGAGCAAGACAGTCTTGAAAAAAAAAAAGAATAAATGGAATAGTGCCTTTGATTTGATAAAACAGAGAAGTGCGTATGACAAGTATAATCTGTAAAACAGATGCCGAAGTAACGACTTTCTAGTCCAAAGTAAGTCACAGTCTCCACTTTGCCATCTATAAAACAGACTGTACTTGTCATATACACTGCCATTTATACATAATATTACTGGGCCTAAATATTTTAGATGCTCAGTTCACTGCTCTTTTTCACAACTATATATTTGTGCATAGTATTGCCATGCTTATTTTTAAAGAAAATAATTTCTTTTTTTGAGTACATAATATATGAACATGGTACAAAATTCAAAATATACTAAAAAGAGTATTTCTTCTGCCTTTGTTTCCTTGACAGCCAGTTTCTCTTCCTAGAGACTACAACAGTTATCAGTTTCTTTTATGTCCATTCAGAAGTACATGTGCGTATAGAAAAAAATGTTAAACAGAAGTTTTAGCATACTACTCACATTGTGCTGCATCTTGATTATATCATTTAACAAGTCACCTTGGCATTCATAACATATATAATTTATATGTATATAGGTACATATGTAAAAATTTGCATATATATGATTTGTGCACCTTTCCGTATCTATCCACCTGGCTATTTTCTTTGTGTGTGTATATATATGTACATATATATATTTTAAAGCTGCATATTATTCTCTCTCATAGGTGTAATAATTCACCTCATCCCCTACTTTGGCTCTTAGGGTTCTGTCTAATTTTTGCTTTTAAAATACTCAAATAAATATTATGGTATATAATAATGATTTCCACACATTGAATAATATCTACAGGTAAATTATAACACAAAGTATGTGATTCACAATTTTCAACTTTGAGAGCTATTGAAAAAATTACCCAGCATATAACTAGTACAAATTATCATCAGAAATTCCTATTTAGCCATTCTCAAACACATATAATTTATTAAGTATTTTGATCTTTGTACAAATATGATTTGCCATTTAATTAAAATCTTATGTATGATTACAATATGCAGTTGTAAGAAAAAATACACAAAGATGCTGTTTTCCCTTTACATGGTTCCTCCCCATGGTAACAAATTGCAGCAGTTTCACAATCAGGATATTGATGCTGATACAACCCATGAATCTTAATGATAGCCCCAGTTTTATTTGTATTCATTTGTTTTGTGTATCTGAGTTTAATTCTACACAGTTTTATCTCATGTTCCTGTATCTGCCATCATAGTCAAAATACAGAATAGTTCCTCCACCACAAGGATCTTTCTTGGTATCCTTTCATAACCACACACACCTCTCTTCTGCTCCTTCTCCAACTTCATTCTCCAACTGTAACTACCAATCTTTTCCCCATTTCTAAAATATTATTTCAAAAATGTTATATAAATGGAATCATACAGTATATAATTTTTTGGATTTCACTTTTTAAAAAATTAAGCGTAATTTCCTGGAGAGTTTACCAAATTGTTGTTTTCTTTTTATTGCTAAGTAGCATTCCATGGTATGGATATACCACAGTTTGTGTAAGCATTTCTCCATTGCAGGACATTTGGGGTATTTCCAGTTTTTGGCTATTACAAATAGTCTATGAACATTCACATACAAGTTTTTGTGTGAACATGTTTTTATTGTACTGACATAAATTCCAAAGCGTGCAATTGTTGGGTCATATAGTAAGTGTATGTTTAATTTTGTAAGAAACGACTATACTCTCTCCAGAGCAGTTGTACCATTTTATATCCTGACCAGTTTTATATTCATGATCCAGTCTTTCTGTATCCTCCCTAGCATTTGGTGTTGTCACTATTTTTATTTTATCTATTTTGATAGATGTGTTGTAGCATTTTACTGGTTTTAATTTGCATTGTGCTGATGAAAATGATTTTGAACACCTTTTCCTGTGTTAATTTGCCATTTATATATCATTTTCTGTTTATGTTTGTATGTCTTTTCCTAGTTTTTGCCCATGTTTTTGGACTTTTAAGAATACTATTAAGTTTTGAGAGTTCTCTCAGATATGTGATTTGAAACAGTATTTCTTTTTTTCAGTCTTCAGCTTGTCTTTCCATTTTCTTAATAGAGTCTTTTGGCAGAGCTTTTTTTTTTTCTGGTTAGGTCAAACTAAAATTTTTCCTTTAATGTGTCATGCTTTTGGTGGAAAATCTAAGGACTCCTTGCCTAGCTCTAGACCCTGAATACTGTTTTCTATTTTTTCTAGAAGATATGTAGCTTTACATTTTACATATAAGTCCATGATCTATTTTGTGTTAATTTTTGTATATGAGGTGAAATTTGAATTTAGTTTGTTTTTTCTTTTCTATTATGGATGTCCAATTATTTCAGAACTAGTTCTTGAAAAGACAGTCTTGCTTCCATTGAGTTACTCTGCACATTCATAAAAAATCAGTTGGACATATTTGTGTGGGCTGATTTATGGGTTCTCTATTCTGTTCCATTGATCTGTTTCACTATCACTTGTGTTAATACCATACAAAACCTGATAACTATAGTTAAATAATAAGCTTTAACATTGAGTAATTTGATTTTTCCACTTTTATTCTTCTTTTTCCAAATTGTGTTAGCTATTCAATTTCCTTTGCCTTTACATACACATTTTAGAATAATCCTATCTATGTCTACTAAGAAATATTTCTGGGATTTTGATAAGAATTGTGTTAAACCTGTATATCAATTTGGAGAGGATTGACATCTTTACTATGTTAAATCTTACAATCCATGAATATAATATGTCTCTAACTTTATGTAAATCTTTTGTTATTTCTTTCATCTGTGCTTGAAGTTTTTAGCATACAACTCCTAAACATTTTTTTTAGATTTACAGCCAGATATTTCCATATTTTGAGAGATTATAAATTAAATTGTGTTTTAATTTTGGTTTTCACATATTCATAGTTTATTAAAAATATTTAATTTTTTGTGTTAATCTTGTATCCTGTCACTTTACTGAACTCATGTATTAGCTATAGGAATTTTTATGTGGAATCCAGGGAGTTTTCTACATAGATAATGACATCTGAAAATAAGTACATTTGTATTTATTACTTTTCAATATATGTGCCATTTATTTCTTTTTCTTGCCTACTACAAGTGGTGAGAGCAGACATCCACGCTTTATTCCTAATCTTAGAAGGAAAGCATTTACCTGGAAGATTTTTATGGATGATCTTTATTGAGTTGACACAATTTCTCTCTATTCCTAGCTTGCTGAGAGTTTTTATCATAAACGGGTGTTGGATTTTATCAAATTTGTTTTTTGCCTCAATTAATACGATCATATAATTTTTCTTCTCTATTCTATTTATATGATAGATTACATTTATTGATTTTCAAATGTCTATGTAGTCTTGTACACCTGAAATAAATCCACTTGGCCTATGTAAATTCTTTCTACATATTGCATTCTATTTTCTAATAATTGATTGAGGATATTTTGTCTATATTCATGAGAGATATTGGAATGCATTTTTTTTGTTTCGTACTGTCCTTGGAGTTGAACTGCATATTACTCTATATATTTATGTTTGTGTGTTTATATATACACATGCTATATAGTATAATAGTATATGTAATGTTAATCAAATTATGATGTTTCTTGGCTTGGATTTCTTTGGATTAATCCTGCAAGGGGTTTATTCAGCTTCTTCAACCTGTATATGCTTATGTTTTCAACAGATTTGGGAAGTTTTAAACTATTATTTATTTAAATACCCTTTGGCATTATTTTCTTTCTCCTCTTCTTCTGGAGCTCTGATGATATGAAAGTTGAATCTCTTGTTATTGTCCCATAGGTCCCCGAGGTTCTTTGCATTGTTTCTCAGTCTGTTTTCTCCCATTGTTCAGATAGGCTACATTTTGTTGATCTGTCCTCATGCTCATTGATTTCATCCTTGGTCATCTCCACTTAACTAATGAGCCCATTCAGTGAGATTTTATTTCTGTTACTGAACTTTCCAGTTCTATAATTTATAACAGGTAGAGTTTTAAAATATTGTATCTTGGACATTTTGGCTATTACAGAACTATAAACTGGAATTTAGGTCCTGTTTAAATCTTTAATTTTAGCAGATAGTCACTCTGTTTAGACCTAGCACACAGGTCCTGACCTAATTTTGTAGGCTGTGCATCCAATGGCAATTTTTTAAGAGACTTTTAGCTGTTATTTTTGTGTTCTAGTTTTATTTGGTACTACTGGGGTTTCCATTGTTCTCTGCTGGTACTGCCTGAGAAGGCAGAAGAAGGGATTTCCTTAGGCTAAGCCTTCTGGTGTCCTTGTGCGGTGGAGAGAATATCAAGACTGAGGACAAAGAGGCTTCCCTGTCGGGGTGCTTGTGGCGGGATTGCCTGCTTGTGCCGGACAGAGACTGCTACTTGCTGGATGATTGTCAAATTGGAATATTTCTTGCTGGTGCCCTCTTTCCCCCTTTCTCACTCTGGTGTCTGTGGGTGGCAGAAGGAAGTCTCAGGCCTGCAGGGCCCGAGGGCCAGGATGCTTGTTATGGTGGGGTCCTTCTCCAGATGCCACCTGACTGCCCTGTTGTCTCTCTTTAGGGGAAGAGAATGCCAGACAGCAGGGAGAGAGGAGCTGAGTAGAGTACTTCTCTGGGTTAGTAGAATTCCTGATGGGCCCCCCTTACTCAAGTGCTGTGTTGTTGGAGGAACTACCTTTTGATAGGAGGCAGGAAAAAACCTACCTAGGCTGCCTTTTGTTGTGGGATGGCGTGTTGGAAGAGGCAAACATTTTTTGTCAAATAAACTAATTGCCTTCTTTAGTTGGGTGAAGGGACAGCCCTGCTGCTGTGTGGTTCCTACAGTTCTGGAATCCCAAAGCAGTTCACCTTCCCACATTTGAGAATTCTTTTTTGGTTACCTCTTGTATTGTTTCTACGGTTTGTAGTTGTACTTAATGGGAAGGGAGATGGGAGAAACCTGTATATACCATCTTATCCGGAAGTCAAAATCACTGTTTTTAAGTTATTTTATTTCGAAAAATCTCAAACTTGCTGGGTGCTTAGACCTGAGCTGGGCAGCGGCAGAACATGCCTTGAGCAGATGGGCATGTGCTTGTGACTAAGTGGGGTGGGAGTCGAGGTGCAGCGCGTTGGTGCTCTTTACAGTGCTCACGGCAGCCTGCTGTAGCGCTTGCCTGCATGTCATATTTCAATTTGCATTTTTCTTATTTTTAATGAGGTTGAGCATCTTTTCCTATCTTTAAGATCTATTCATATTTCCTTTTCTATAAATTGTCTGTATGTTTCTCTCTTTAAAAAAAATTGGTCTGTGTCTTTTAGGTTTATTAAATAATTTATATATTAAGAATGTTAGCACATGGTCTACAATTTGCTTTGTGATTTTATTCCTGGATGCGTTTTGATCTTTTATTTGTAGGATTTTTGTCATGCAGACATTTTCGATGCCTATGTAGTCAAATTTGGTAATCTTTTATTGCTTCAGGTTTTTCTATGATATTTAGAAAATCATTTCCAAATCCAAGATTATTGTTTCCTCTCTTATTCTCTTTTTTTCTGTAAAAGTTTATATGACATATAAAGTACAACACACACACAGAAAAGTGGATAAATCCTGAGTCTCAATAAATTTTCACAAAATGACATATCTGTATAACCAACACACCCACATGAAGAAACAGCTTCATCCATATTACTTAATATAGCTGTAGTTCATTTTGACTCCTTCACAATGTTTCATTTTGTTGATGGACATTTATATAGTTGTCAGTTTTTGATAAAAAATATTGCTGCTATGAACATTTTTATATATTTTGGTATGTGCACCTTCTATTGGCTATATACCTAGGAATGGAATTTCTGGCTTATTCATATATGCGTATGTTTAGCTTGAGGATACTGCCAGATTGTTTTCCAAAATCACTATGCTGATTAAACTCCCTGGAGGAGTATATGAGTGCTCAGGGTGCTCTACATCCTTGTTGACACTTGGTGTTTTCCATCACTTTTTTATTTTAACTGTTCTAGTTATTGTGCAGTGGCACTGCATTGTGGTTTTGTTGCTGGGGGCTCAGGAAGGTCTCCAGATGCAGGTGAGAACCCAGCCCCAGGGGGTTTTCAGGTTCCCCATTCCTTTGCATTTCTATGTAACTTTTAAAATCAGCTTGACAATTTTATATTTTAAAAATCAGGGACTTGTACTGGGATTGCGTTGACTTTTTAGATTACTTTTAGGAGAGTAGACATCTTCATTATAGTATATCTTTCAGCCCATGAATATACCATATTCCTCTATTTATTTAGATATTCTTTATTTCCTCAGAATAATGTTTTGTAGTTTTTAGGATAGAGATCTTATATATTTTTGTTTAGTTTTATTTCTATACATTTATTGTTTCTGATGCTATTGAAAATATCATTGGACATTTTATTTTCATTTGATTGTGGTTAGCATATAAAATATATTTAATTCTTGTTTAATGTCCTCATATCTCAGAAATCTTCTAACCATACAGGCATATCATCTATGAAAATGAGTTTTATTTTTTCCTTTCTAATTCTAAAGTATTTTATTTATTTTTTTCTTGCTTTATGACACTGGCTAGAACCTCTAGGACAATGTTCAAAAAAGTGATGATAGGAGAAATCCTTGTCTCATTCCTGATCTGAAACTTTTCATGTTTCTTCATTAGGTATGATCTTTTCTTATGGTATTTTTTATTAATTTTATCAAATAAACTAATTTCCCTTGTATCCCTAGTTTGCTAAGGATTATTTTATTAAATCATGAGTGGGTGCTAAATATAATCAAATGCTTTTACTGCATCTGTGGTGTTTCTTGTTTTCTTTCTCTAATATGGCTATTGTATTAATTTATTTTTTAATGTTAAATTACCCTTACATCTTGAAATAAATTTTATTTGGTTGCGATGTAGATATTGCTTGTTTTTATGCATTTTTTCAAGATTTTTGCATCTATAGTCACAAGACAGGTTAGTCTGCAGTTCCTTTCTGTTAAGTTTTTTTTTTTTTTTTTTTTTTTGAGATGGAGTCTCGCTCTGTCGCCCAGGCTGGAGTGCAGTGGCGCGACCTCAGCTCACTGCAAGCTCCTCCTCCCGGGTTCAAGCCATTCTCCTGCCTCAGCCTCCCGGGTAGCTGGGACTACAGGCTCCTGCCACCACACCAGGCTAATTTTTTGTATTTTTAGTAGAGACGGTGTTTCACCATGTTAGCCAGGATGGTCTAGATCTCCTGACCTCGTGATCCGCCCTCCTCGGCCTCCCAAAGTGCTGGGATTACAGCCGTGAGCCACCGCGCCTGGCCTCTGTTGAGTTCTTTTTAAAGTGTTGGTATCAAAGTTGTGCTAACCTTATAAAAGAAATATAGAAGTGCTCCTTTTTCATTGTTTTGAAAGTATTTGTGTAAGTTATTATTTCTTCCTTAATTATTTGGTAGAATTCACCAGTAAAATCTGGACTTGGTGTTTCCTTTCTGGAAAAATTTTGAATAAGAACTACACTTTCCTATATAAATATCAAACTATTGAAATTGTCCTTCTTCTACTGTCAATTTTGGTAAGTTACTTTTGGTTTAAGTAATTTTAAAATTTTATTTAAATTGCCAAATTCTTGGGCATGAAGTCGCTCATAACGACCTTTTACAATGTTTGACGTTGATAGTATCTGTAGTGATACTAGCTTAAAATTTGTATTCTCTCTCTCTTTTAACAATTTTACTGAGTTGATAACTTTCATTAATCTTTTCAAATGACTAAATTTTGACTTTGTTGACTTTTCTTTATTGAACTTTTGTTTTCTATTTCAATTATTCTTGTTATTATTTTAGCTATTTCCCTTCTACTTTGTTTAGGTTTGAGTTATTGGATTATTTGTTCATTCATTCATGCATTCATTCATTTAGCTGTTTGAAATGAAAGTTTAGGTTATTGGTTTTTCAATATTTCTTTTTTTCTAACATATGCATTTAAGGCTGACAATTTCCCTCTATTTATTTCTTTAGCTATATGCCAAAAGTTTTGATATATCTCATCTTCATCATTGTTCATTTCAATTTTATTCTAATTTTATTTGAATTTTTTCTTTATGAATTATTTGTGTGTATTACATAATATGAAGAAATTGGTGAGTTTCTAGATGCATTTTTCTTATTGTTTTTTAATTCCAGTGTGGTCAAGGGACATTCTTTGAATAGCTCAACCTTTTGAAACCTTTTGAAGCCTTTTGGTAATACTCAACTCATGCTTGATTTTGTAAATATGTACAAGATATACTTGAAAATAATGTGAATTATTTTTTGGTTGGGTTCAGTGTTCTTTATATGTTAATCAAATTTGTAAATTATGTTGTTCAGATGTTTATATCCTTACTGACTTTTTGGCTGATTATTCTGTCAGGTATAGAGAGAAACTTGTTAAATCTTCTCATTGTGATTGTGGTTTTAACTATGTCTTTATTTCTGTCGATTTTTAGAGTTATTTTACGGAGAACTTACACTGGAGAACTTATGATATTGTGGACCAATTATTAACAGAAGAATCTTAGTAGGCATGGGTGGGAGGAGTATCCTAGTTAGCATTTCCAATTCCTCAGTGCAAGGGCTCCCTCTTCTGTTGATAAGGTGGTGATTATTATTGTTATTATTATTATTATTATTAATTACTTACAAATGACAAGCTTCCTTTGTTCTTCATATATTTACTATACCTCTTCTCTCCATCACCTTCAGTGCTTAGACTGTGCCTTTTTCTATCCCCTGCCCCACAGAAATTCTCACTCCCTGGGAGGTACTCCCCTTTTGGATTGAAAAATTGGGGGTGTTTTCGAAGTTCTTCTACTAATGGGACCTCTAACTATTTCAAGTTTTTCCCAACTACATCCACTGCCTCATTGCTATGACACAGTCTTGTGACTAATGATGCTAATTTTGCTGTTTTTTTCTCCTCTACTCATACAACATTTGGTTTGTGGGTGTTTATGTTTCTTACTTTCACTGAAAGTTTGGGTTGTCAGAAGACATGTGTTACTCTCTTGTGGCTTTTATGTATCTTAGAAGAAGTGATGAAATCCCCACTGAGCTACATCTGAATTTTTGCCAGAACCTAGAATCATAAGTTGAAAAACTATTCCCTGTTTGTATGTTTAAAATTTTTGTAATACATAATTCTAATGCCATACATGAGGTTATGATTATGTCCATCAAATCTTGCACTTCCTAGTTTTGAAAACAGATGCCCTTTATCTATATCTGATTTGTTCATAATATAATGCTTTTATTAGTCTAGTGCCATTTTAACAGCTCAGAATTTATCAGGTATATTAGTCTTCCTCAATTTTGTTGTACATAAATTTAGTTTTACTGTTCGTAACTATTCTTCACACTGTTGCTCACCCCTAGGTTCCTCCAAATAGTAAACTTGCTTTATTTAATCCTCACAGTGTAAAATTAAAAATTCAGAAAAATTAATTCTGTTATTGTTAAATTTGCTTCCCAGAGCAATGGAGAATGTCACTACAATGAATGAGTTTCTTCTACTTGGCCTGACTGGTGTTCAGGAGCTGCAGCCTTTCTTCTTTGGGATTTTCTTAATCATTTACCTGATAAACTTGATTGGAAATGGATCTATATTGGTGATGGTTGTTTTGGAACCACAACTCCACTCCCCTATGTATTTTTTTCTGGGAAACCTTTCTTGTCTGGATATTTCTTATTCTTCAGTGACACTGCCCAAGCTGCTTGTAAACCTCGTGTGCAGTCGCAGGGCTATATCTTTTCTAGGCTGTATCACCCAGCTACACTTCTTCCACTTTTTGGGAAGCACAGAGGCCATTTTACTGGCTATCATGGCCTTTGACCGTTTTGTTGCCATCTGCAATCCTCTTCGCTACACTGTCATCATGAACCCCCAGGTGTGTATTCTGTTGGCAGCTGCGGCCTGGCTCATCAGCTTCTTTTACGCTCTGATGCATTCTGTCATGACTGCACACCTGAGTTTTTGTGGCTCTCAGAAACTCAATCACTTCTTCTACGATGTCAAGCCGCTCTTAGAATTGGCCTGTAGTGACACATTACTCAATCAATGGCTTCTTTCCATTGTCACAGGCAGCATATCCATGGGAGCTTTCTTTCTGACTCTTCTCTCCTGCTTCTATGTAATTGGCTTCCTTCTGTTTAAGAACAGGTCCTGCAGAATACTCCACAAGGCTCTGTCCACTTGTGCCTCCCATTTTATGGTGGTATGTCTTTTCTATGGACCTGTGGGCTTCACATATATTCGTCCTGCTTCAGCCACCTCCATGATTCAGGACCGGATAATGGCCATCATGTATAGCGCCGTCACCCCTGTACTGAATCCACTAATCTACACCCTTAGGAACAAAGAAGTGATGATGGCTCTGAAGAAAATCTTTGGTAGGAAGTTGTTTAAAGACTGGCAGCAACACCACTAGGACTAATGAGGGATATCTGATTTCTATTAAGACTGATTTCCATCACTTCACTGTAAGAAATGATTTGTTTACCTGGTTTATATTTTTCTTTCAAAAATTTTGAGCACATATTATATTAGGCAGTGTAGTAGGTTCAAGAAACACAGGAGCAAGCAAAACAAATTCCATAATGTCATCAAACATAAAGTTTAATGTGATGGAGGCCCCAAATAACCAAACGCGTAAGTACATATGTCAGGATAATTCGGTGGCAAGGAGAACTAAGGAGGTAGGAAGTATGGGGAGGGTTAGAGTAGGAATCTGCTGTGTAAAAAAGAATGTGGCATTTCTCCTAGGACAAAAACCTTTGGAATTTTCCAAGTAATAGAAGTATCTTACTGAAATTCCATATGAGATAATCTTTATTTTTGCCTATTTTTTTTCCTTTTGTGTTTCCTTCAGCAGGAATGTACTGATGATAATTTTTCTCACAACAGTTTTTATCTAGAATATCATTTTTGTTAATCTTAATTCTTGAAGAGAATTTTTAATGGGTATTTAATTTTAGGGAGAGATTTTTCTAGCCATTGAAAATATCTTGTTTTTCCCCAGCTTATTGAAGTATAATTAACAAATAAAAATTGCATATATTTAGGCTTCACAACATGATGCTTTAGTATATGTACACATTGTGAAGAGACTACCACAATCAAGCTAAACCTACATTACTGTCCCTGCATTAGTTTACTGTTGAATACTAGAAGTTCTTCATTCTATCTAACTGCATTTTCATACCCATTAAGCCAATGTGACAAGCTCTTTGTTTCAGTTGGAGTGTTTGCACAATTTAAATTTGATAAATTTTTGATAGAATTAAATTTAAATTTATCCTCCAACTAAATTTTTGATAGAATTAAATTTAAATTTGTCCTCCAACTGTTTGCCTTTCATTTGTCCTATTTGTCCGTTATTGCTTCTTCTTTCATTTACTGTTTTTTATGGGAATATTTTTATGATTTCATTATATTTTCACTATTGTCCTTTTATTTATACCTTTTTATTTTATATTTTTGTGGTTACTCTGGGGTTTACAATGTACATTTTAAATTCACAAAATATTTCTTCACATAATATTACACCATTTAAGATGTATTGCTAGAGTCATGCCATACTGTACTTCCATCTCCCTGCTCATGCTTTGTGATTTTAATGTCACACATTTTACTTTTACTTATGTTATTAGTATCCAAGATACTGCAATTCTGTTTTTTTTGAAAAATTCTATTATTTTTAAGGTAATTAAAAATAATAAAAATGTCTTTTACACTTAAACACATATTTATAATTTCTGGCACTTTTGGTCCCTTCATGGAGACACTGATTTTCATCTCGTATCATTTTTTTGTTGTTGTTGTCTAAAGACTTTCCTTAACTATTTCTTGTAGTAAAGTTCTGCTGGTAATAATTTACTTCAGCTTTTGTTGGCATGAAAAAGTACTTTGCCCTTATTTTTAAGAGATGTTTTCTCTGTATATAAAATTTTAAATTGGCAGACTTTTGTTTATGTGCTTTAAAGCTGTTGCTCCATTACCTGTCTCACATAATTTCTGGTGGGATGCATGCTGCCATTCTTATCTTTATTCCTTTGTAATAACTGTGTTGATTTTTCTCTTGCTGATTTTAAGATTTTTCTTTATGACTTTTTTAGCAAATAGATTATGATGTTCATTGTAAAGTTTTCTAATATTTATTCTATTTAATTTTTATTGAGCTTCTTGGATCTATAGATTATATATTTTATCAAATTTGGAAAAACTCAGTCATTACTTCTTCAATGTTTTTAATCAAACACTTCTTTAGTACTCCACTTGCACATATGTTAGACTGCTTGAAATTATGACATAGGTCATTGATACTTTGTCCATTTTATTAAAAAGATTTCTCTGTGCTTCATTTTGGATTGTTTTTATATCTATATCTCCAAGTTCCTTGATTTTTTCTTCTGCAGTAATTAATCTACTGTTTATTCCATGCACTGCATTTTTCACTTTATATTTTGTATTTTTTATTTAAACAAGTTCTATGTGGGTCTTTAAAAAAATCTCTCTCTTTTTATGTCTGTATTTCCCCTAAATTATTATGCTTATTTTGAGGCATACTTTTTTTTTGTTAAGGTAGATCCAGAACATTGTTTATTCTGAGATTAATTTAGCCCCCACTACTAAGGTAATATCCTTCTCAGGACTCCACCTAAGTCCTTGTCTATTACAAGCTGTTCCAATCAGGCTGATGGGTCATGGGACATACCCAACCCTGTCTTGTACAGTGTATTAAAATCATTGCTTTATATATTTTATTCCATTTTTTAGATGTTTAATCAGGAGAGAAAATCTCGTTACTTTATTATGGCAAGTAATGAAACACAAAAATCATTATTTTTGAGGTTGCGGAATGTAGATCTTCCTATCTGTTGTGGGTACACACGACTACTTTCTAGTATCAATAACATTAGTGTGATATAATCTAAATCACAGGCACTAATGTAGTCACTCCTGATCGAGGTACAACATATGTAGCTGGCAATACTGTTCAGGGTTGATGCTTATATTTTTTTTTTCTTAAATTGAGACAGAGTCGCCCTATGTTTCCCAGGCTGGTCTTGAACTCCTGGGCTCAAGGGATCTTCCTGCCTCTGCCTCCCAAAGTGATAGGATTACAGGTGTGAGCCAGCACTCCAGGCCTTATCTTAAATTCACACTTTGTTAACTTTTTTTCTCCTTTTTTTGTAGAAACAAACAGAGCAAATATTTCAGTGTATGATGTCCCTGTTTTCCTACTCTGTTCTATGAGTATATCTCTATAAAAGAGTTGATTCTACTATTATTTTGCTCTTAATAATATTTTCCTATTTTCACCTCATTTTTATTATTCTGAATAGATCATCTTTAAAAAGGAAGTGAAATTTTTTTTCCTTTTTGTCTCTACCCTATCTATTTCTTTTTTGTTATGGCCATTTATAGTCACGTACACTCATTTAATCTCAATTTATTCACTGGAAAAAAACAGCTGATTTAATGTTAGAGAGCACACATTATTGGTAAATCCCTTATTATACATCATAAAAAGCAAAGACACCCCAAACTCCTAGATTTATAAGAAGAAAACAAGCTATGGGGAAATGATTCCCTATTTAATAAATGGTGCGGGGATAACTTCCTTGTCATATACAGAAGATTGAAGCTGGATACCTACCTTTTACCCTATACAAAAGTTAACTCAAAATTGATTAAAGATTTAAATGTAAGACCTCAAATTATAGAAATCATGGAAGATAACCTAGGAAATACTCTTCTCAACATCGGCCTTGGCAAAAGATTTTTGGCTAAGTCACCAAAAGCAATGGCAACAAAAACAAAAATAGACAAGTGAGACCTGATTAAACTAAAGAGCTTCTGCACAGCAAAAGAAACTATCAACAGAGCAAACACACTATCTACAGAAAGGGAGAAGATATTCACAAACAATGCATCTGACAAAGGCCTAATATCCAGAATCTATAGGGAACTTAAAGTTTAAGTCAACAAGCAGAAAGCCAATAATCCCATTAATAAATGGGCAAAGGACATGAAAAAACACTCTCAAAAGAAGACATACATGTGGCTAACAAACATACGAAAAAATTATCAGCATCACTAATTATCAGGGAAATGCAAATCAAAACTGCAGTGAGATATTATCTCACACCAGTCAGAATGACTATTTAAAAAGTCAAAAAACAACAGATGCTATCAAAGCTGCAGAGAAAAGGGAATGCTTATATGCTGTTGGTGGGAATGTGGATTAGTCCAGCAACTGTGAAAAGCAGTCTGGAGATTTCTCAAATAATTTAAAACAGAACTACTATTCAATACAGCAATCTCATTAATGGGTATATATCAAAATAAAATAAATCATTCTACCAATAGGATACATACACTCACATGTTCATTGTTGCGCTGCTCACAATAGCAAAGATGTGGAATGACAGACTGGATAAAGAAAATGTGTTACATATGCACCATGGAATACTATGCAGCCATAAAAACAGAATAAAATAATGTCCTTTGCAGCAACATGGATGGAGCTGGAGGGCATAATTCTAAGCAAGTTAACACAGGAACAGAAAACCAAATACTGCATGTTGTAACTTATAAGTGGGAGTTAAGCATTGAGCACACATGAACATAGGTATGGGAACAATAGACACTGTGGACTACCAGAGGCTTCAGGGATGGGGGAGGATGGGTTAAAAAACTGCCTATCAAGCCAGGTACTAGGCTCATTACCAGGGTGGTGAGATCCATACTCCAAATTTGAACATCATGCAATATTCCCATGTAACAAATCTGCACATATATCCACTATGTCTAAAATAGAAGTTGAATTTTTTTAAAAAAGTAAAAACTAAAAATAAATATAAAATAAAAAAATTTAAAAAGACTTATTGGTAATGAATGTTAGATACAATAAATGAATAATGCAAAATTTATTATCGTCTGTTTTTGGAGTGAAATAACCACTCATAGATATCTTCAGATGATAACTCTCTTGCTGTGTGTACCCAAGTCAGCCGGTAAGAATTTAGCAAGTGATGAAATTGGATAATGCCTAGTAGGTAATTAATTTGTTGAGAATTGAGATTTGATTTTAAGCCATAGGTGATGATTAAGAACCATATGAATCTGGGAGAAATAACTCTTCTTTAATCCAAATTCTTAATTTTAAAGGGCAGGCAATATAATCATTAGAGGTCAAAGGATTCAGAAATTCTGTTTTTATGTGATAGTGGCATACTTAGCTGCCTCAATTCTTAAATAATTATAGGATCAAAATTAATCAAGCAATTATACTTTTAATTTACAAGTCATGCTCAAAATTAATATTTAATCTATCACAAAATATATGGATACTGTATATTCGTTAGTGAGTTTTTGATACATCTTCAAGAACACATAACATGCAAAGGAATAGATATTTGGAGGACTAATCAGTCTTCAGTGGCTGAAGAATATTTCTTCAGTGAGAAGTAGTGTGCAATGTAAGCTTCCCCCACCTCCAGGAGGAAATGAGGATGCTTTCTCCTAATTTAAGCTGAGAGAAAAACCAGTTAGAGAGCTTGATTTCTACATCTGGAATTTTGGAGTCCAAAGACTGATATTTCTTACATGGCCAAGAAGCAAAATCTAGAGAACTGCATTTCCTGTGTTAATAGGGGAAGCATGTGGGTTGTTTCTCACTAGACAGATGTGGGCCAGGAGGTAGTGGTCCACCTGGAGCAGGTCGGACTCCACAGGACACTTTCTGAAGCATAATTATGATGGCAACAGAGCCACTAGAAGACAAATAGATGCTCAGGGGTTGAAGCAGGAACCAGAAGTAGTGAGTCTCAGGACTTGTGCTTGAAGATCCCCAACGTGTGTCTCCGAGGCTCTTGAAATATTCCCATAAGATGTGGGGATCTTCTTAATCCAAAGGGCATTTTCCTTACTCACTCCAGTCCCATGCACTGGCCTTCAGGGACTGAGTAGAGTCTTGGCACTCACCTAGAAAACCCATCACTCAGAAGTTTATCAGCACAGACTCTGTAGGGAACATTATTTTGTGTTACTTCGTTGTATTCTTAAAAACAGCCCCATATCAGTCTCTCAGAGTCTGAATGGTAATCTCTGCTCAATATCTCCAATCACAGGTGAGTGAGTAAGTATTTTTAATTGCTTAACTATAGCTTCATTGCTCTTAGAGATACACTTTTCTGTCTTGCTTTTTGGATATGAGACTAACTGTGTAGGAGATGGAAGTGTAATGACCTGAGGAGTTCCAAAGGAGGGAATAATAAAATTGTCTGTCCCATGCTTTGGGTGACAATCAGCCTACTGAGTATGTGAATCAGGAAGCTTCTTTCATTTTGGGTAATTTTTATGTCATTCAGAATAGCCCTCTGCTGGTTTGCTGATTTTTTATTAAATAAAGGACAGTGTATTTATTCTGCAAAAAGAGACTAAAATGCCACTGGACTGCAGAGAATAGTATCAGGAACACACTTTGTGTGACTTTCTCACAAGAAACCATCTTTCATGTGGATCTAATAACCTTGCATGCTAGCTATTATTGATTGAGCTTTAGCCACACTGATTTTCACGTTTGCTATGTGATTTCAGTTTTTAGTAAGAAACTGGATAGTATATTTTGAGAAAATTTGAAATTTTAAGATTCTGAATTTCTAAGGTCTCTTTTTTGAGAACACTCTTTAATGAAGAGCTACTGGGTCTGTTAGAAGGAAATGAAAAAGTCAAGACTGAGCTTGGAGGGCAAACATTCTCGTGAATTTTCTGGGGGCCTCTCCTTGTGGGTTCTTAGAGGCCATTCTTGAGCTCTTTACTATGATATGAAATTCTGAAAACATTTTCTCAGTTGTCCTTGTATTATATCAAGTTTCGGTTCTTTAGTAAGGAGTCAAGACCATGGCTGCTTGGAAAAGCAGTAATTTTCCTATAACTCTGTGTGAAATACTTGTGCTTTGCGTGGTGAATTCTATTCTGTCTCAGGGTCAATCTATGCCTATGAGAGGCAACAATGACCCATGTAGCACAATTTGAGTACCAGCTGCAGGATGTTGTTCTAGATTTGGAAATAGAAGAATTTTTTTCTACTCTTAGTTCACTACTTGTTAACTATTTGATCTTATAAGTAATCCACCATAAATTACAGACTCCTCTACTCTAACTAATATAAATGTTATAAGAATAAAAATAATATGTAAGGTCTGAACATTTTTTCCAAGTTCTACATCATAATAAGTATGTAAAAAAGGGAGGAAATACAATTGTTTTCTTGGAAAATTTTGCTATACTGCCTTATATTCCAACAGTAGTAATCCATTACTGAATGTAAGACCACTGTGTCCCCAGTTACGTATTAATTCATTGAGAAATAGATTAGTAAGACAGAATATGCACCATAAGATATTATGGACAAACAAGTGATATGTCACACAAATAAGTATGTTGTGTGTTATGTGTCATAATCAAGATTGAAACAAATGCCTATAGATTTTCCAGGAAGGGACAGAAGCATTTCACTTGAAGAGAAAAGAGGCATTTAAGCTGAGCTTTAAAAATATGTAGATTAGCAGACAGAAATGAAAGCAGGAAGAAAAACATACAGGCTGAGTGGATAAAAAAATGACTAAAATTAAGAGGCTATTCTGAAAAAGAAAATTCTTATTTTAAGGCAAATAACCTTAGAGGAGTAATACATTATTGTTTAAGTTATTTCATTTAGTCGTTTTATCACAACAGCTTCCCCACAAATAGGGACATGGGAAAGGCATGTTTTGAAGTAAAGGGCAATGATCACAGAACATAGAGGACTTGGGTAACAAAACAAAAGCATCAGGAGATCCCCAGGAGAAAGTAATTCCTTCTCTTAATGTGTAAGAAACCCTGAGAAGGGAGGTGGGCTGCTGAGCCAAGTGTGTCCTCCTTCGCTATTTTGAGAACTGGACAGCTGATACCATCTCATAATGACCTATGTTTGTGTTGGAGGGCAGTTCTCTGCAGGATAGCTTTTCTCATGAGGAATGGTCTGGCAAGAAAAATGGGGCCCCTTATTTTCACAAACAGTTCTTTTAATAACAGCACTCTTTCATACACTAACTGTAATTCAGTGCTTCCTTGAATTTCTTTCTACTTTTATGCTTCTCCTTCTTAGTCTCATAGTTTAGCTTCTACATGCAGGAAATTAGTTCTGAGAAAGTTCAATTCTGTGTTCTCTTTTTTCCTACTTCACACTCTCCCATCCATAGGAGTAGTTTCAACTATCCTCTATATGCTGATGTGTTACAAATTCGTATCTCTAGTACATACCTCTCCTCTGAGGCCACATACCAAAATATGTCAAATAAACATATTTTCTTAGATATTCAGATATCTCAAATTCAGCATGGCCAAAACTGAACACATGATCTCCCCCTGGATTTCCTTTTTTTTTTTTTTTTTTTTAATATACTTTACTTTAAGTTCAGGGATACATATGCAGAATGTGCAGGTTTGTTACATAGGTGTACATGTGCCATGGTGGTTTGCTGCACTGATCAACACGTCATCTCGGTTTTAAGCCCCGCATGCATTAGCTATTTGTCCTAATGCTCTCCCTCCCCTTGCCACCTACTCCCCAACAGGCCCCAGTGTGTGAGGTTCCCTCCCTGTGTCCATGTGTTCTCATTGTTCAACTCCCACTTATGAGTGAGAACATGTAGTGTCTGGTTTTCTGTTCCTGTGATAGTTTGCTGAGGATGATGGTTCCCAGCTTCATCCATGTCCCTACAAAGGACATGATCTCATTCTTTTTTATGGCTGCATAGTATTCCATGGTATATATGTGCCACATTTTCTTTATCCAGTCTATCATTGATGGGCATTTGTGTTGGTTCCAAGTCTTTGCTACTTTAAATAATGCCACAATAAACCTACGTATGCATGTGTCTTTATAGTAGAATGATTTATAATCCTTTGGGTATATACCCAGTAATGGGATTGCTGGGTTAAATAGTATTTCTGGTTATAGATCCTTGGGTAATTGCCACACTGCCTTCCACAATGGTTGAACTAATTTACACTCCCATCAACAATGTAAAAGCCTTCCTATTTCTCCACATCCTCGCCAACATCTGCTGTTTGCAGACTTTTTAATGATTTCCATTCAAACTGGCGTGAGATGGTATCTTATTGTGGTTTTGATTTGCATTTCTATAATGACCCATGATGATGAGCTTTTTTTCATATGTTTGTTGGCCACATAAATGTCTTCTTTTGAGAAGTGTCTGTTCATATCCATCACCCACTTTTTGATGGGGTTGTTTGTTTTTTCTTGTAAATATGTTTAAGTTCCTTGTAGATTCTGGATATTAGACCTTTGCCAGATGGATAGATAGCCAAAATTTTCTCCCATTCTGTAGGTTTCCTGTTCAGTCCGATGATAGTTTTTTTTTTTTTTTCTATGCAGAAGCTCTTTAGTTTAATTAGATCCCGTTTGTCAATTTTGGCTTTTGTTGCATTGCTTTTGGTGTTTTAGTCATGAAGTCTTTGCCCATGCCTATGTCCTGAATGGTATTGCCAAGGTTTTCTTCTAGGGTTTGTATGGGTTTAGGTTTTATGTTTAAGTCTTTAATCCATCTTGAGTTAATTTTTGTATAAGGTGTAAGGGAGGGGTCCAGTTTCTGTTTTCTGCATGTGGCTAGCCAATTTTCCCAGCACCAATTATTCAACAAAGAATCCTTTCCCCATTGCTTGTTTTTGTCAGGTTTGTCAGGTTTTTTCAGGTTTGTCAAAACAAAGGTTTTGTCAGGTTTGTCAGGTTGTAGATGTGTGGTGTTATTTCTGAGGCCTCTGTTCTGTTCCATTGGTCTATATATCAGTTTTGGTACCAGTATCATGCTGTTTTGGTTACTGTAGCCTTGTAGTCTAGTTTGAAGTCAGGTAACATGATGCCTCCAGCTTTGTTCTTTTTGCTTAGGATTGTCTTGGCTATACGGGCTCTTTTTTTGGTTCCATATGAAATTTAAAGTCGTTTTTTCTAGTTCTGAGAAGAAAATCAATGGTAGCTTGATGGGAATAGCATTGAATCTATAAATTACTTTGGGCAGTATGGCCATTTACACAGTATTGATTCTTCGTATCCATGACCATGGAATTTTTTTCTCTTCATTTGTGTCCTCTCTTATTTCCTTGAGAAGCAGTTTGTAATTCTCCTTAAAGAGGTCCATCACATCCCTTGTAAGTTGTATTCCTAGGTATCTTATTTTTTTATGGTAATTGTGAATGGGAGTTCACTCATGATTCAGCTTTCTGCTTGTCTATTATTGGTGTATAGGAATGCTTGTAATTTTTGCACATTGATTTTGTATCCTGAGACTTTGCTGAAGTGGCTCATCAGCCTAAGGAGTTTTGGGCTGAGATGATGGGGTTATCTAAATATACAATTATGTCATCTGCAAACAGAGGCAATTAGACTTCCTCTCTTCCTATTTGAATACCATTTATTTCTTTCTCTTGCCTGATTGCCCTGGGCAGAACTTCCAATACTATGTGGAATAGGAGTGGTGAGAGAGGGCATCCTTGACTTGTGCAGGTTTTCAAAGAGTACGCTTCCAGCTTTTGCCCATTCATTATGATATTGGCTATGGGTTTGTTGTGAATAGGTCTTTTTTTATATATATGTTCCATCAATATTTAGTTTATTGAGAGTTTTTAGCATGAAGGGGTATGGAATTTTATCAAAGGCCTTTTCTGCATCTATTGAGATAATCATGTGGTTTTTGTCATTGGTTGTTTATGTGATAGATTATGTTTATTGATTTGTGTATGTTGAACCAGCCTTTTATCCCAGGTATGAAGCCGACTTGATTGTAGTGGATAAGATTTTTGATGTGCTGCTGGATTTGGTTTGCCAGTAGTTTATTGAGCATTTTTGCATCGAGGTTCATTAGGGATATTGGACTGAAATTTTCTTTTTTTGTTGTGTCTTTGCCAGGTTTTGGTATCAGGATGATGCTGGCCTCATAAAATGAGCTAGAGAGGAGTCCCTCTTTTTTATTGTTTGGAATAGTTTCAAAACGAATGGTACCAGCTCCTCTTTGTACCTCTGGTAGAATTCAGCCATGAATCCATCAGATCCTGGAGATTTTTTGTTTTTTTAGGCTACTAATTACTGCCTCAATTTCAGTACTTGTTATTGGTCTATTCAGGGATTCGACTTCTTCCTGGTTTAGGCTTGGAAGGGTGTATGTGTCCAGGAATTTATCCATTTCTTCTAGATTTTCTAGTTTATTTGCATAGAGATATTTATAGTATTCTCTCATGGTAGTTTCTATTACTGTGGGATCAGTGGTGATAACTCATTTACCATTTTTTATTGTGTCTATTTGATTCTTCTCTCTTTTCTTCTTTACTAGTCTGGCTAGCAGTCTATCTCTTTTGTTAATCTTCTCAAATAACCAGCTCCTGCATTCACTGATGTTTTGAAGGGTTTTTCGTGTCTCTATCTCCTTCAGTTCTGCTCTGATCTTAGTTATTTCTTGTCTTCTGCTAGCTTTTGAATGTGTTTGCTCTTGCTTCTTTAGCTCTTTTAATTGTGATGTTAGGGGGTCAATTTTAAATCTTTCCTGCTTTCTGACGTGGGCATTTAGTGCTCTAAATTTTTCTCTTAACACTGCTCTAGCTGTGTCCCTGAGATTATAGTTTATTGTCTCTTTGTTCTCACTGGTTTCAAATAACTTCATTATTCCTCCCTTAATTTCATTATTTACCCAGTAGTCATTCAGGAGCAGGTTGTTAATGTAATTGTGAGGTTTCATGTAGTTGTGAGGTTTTGAGTGAGTTTCTTAATGCTGAGTTCTAATTTGATTGCACTGTGGTCTGAGAGACTGTTTGTTTTGATTTCCATTCTTTTGCATTTGCTGAGGAGTGTTTTACTTCCAATTATGTGGTCGATTTTAGAATAATTGCTATGTGGTGCTGAGAAGAATGTATATTCTGTTGATTTGGGGTGGAGAGTTCAGTAGATGTCTATTAGGTCTGCTTGGTCCAGAGCTGAATTCAAGTCCTGAATATTCTTGATAATTTTCTGTCTCATTGATCTGTCTAATATTGACAGTGGAGTGTTAAAGTCTTCCATTATTATTGTATGGGAGTCTAAGTCTTTTGTAGGTCTGTAAGAACTTGTTTTATGAATCTGGGTGCTCCTTTATTGGGTGCATATGTATTTAGGATAGTTAGCTCTTCTTGTTGCATTGATCCCTTTACCATTGTGTAATGCCTTTCTTTGTCTTTTTTGATCTCTGTCGGTTTAAATTCTGTTTTATCAGAGACTAGGATTGCAACCCCTGCTTTTTTTTTCTCTTTCCATTTGCTTGGTAAATATTTCTCTGTCCCTTTGTTTTGAGCCTATGTGTGTCTTTGCACATGAGATGGGTCTCCTGAATACTGCACACTGATGGGTCTTGACACTTTATTCAATTTGCCAGTCTGTGTCTTTTAATTGGGACATTCAGCCCATTTACATTTAAGATTAATATTGTTAGTGTGAATTTGATCCATTCATCATGATGCTAGTTGGTTACTTTGAACATTAGTTGATGCAGTTTCTTCATAGTGTCTTTGGTTTTTATATTACGGTGTGTTTTTGCAGTGGCTGGTACTACTTTTTCCTTTCCCTGTTTAGTGCTTCCTTTAGGAGCTCTTGTAAAGCAGGCCTGGTGGTGACATAATCCCTCAGCATTTGCTTGTCTGTAAATGATTTTATTTCTCCTGCACTTATGAAGCTTAGTTTGGCTGTATGCAAAATTCTGAGTTGAAAATTCTTTTTTTTTAAGAATGTTGAATATTGGTCCCCACTCTCTTCTGGCTTGTGGGTTTTCTGCGGAGAGATCCACTGTTAGTCTGATGGGCTTCCCTTTGTAGGTAACCTGACCTTTCTCTCTGACTGTCCTTAACATTTTTTCTTTCATTTCGACCTTGGATAATCTGATGATTATGTGTCTTGGGGTTGCCCTTCTCGAGGAGTATCTTAGTGGTGTTCTCTGTATTTCCTGAATTTGGATGTTGACCTGTCTTGCTAGGTTGGGGAAGGTCTCCTGGATAATATTTTGAAGTGTGTTTTCCAACTTGGTCTCATTCTCCATGTTACTTTCAAGTATACCACCCAATCACATGTTTGGTCTTTTCACATAGTCCCATATTTCTTGGAGACTTTTTTCCTTCCTTTTCCCTCTTTTTTCTCTAATATTGTCTTCACACCTTATTTTAGTAAGTTGATCTTCAATCTCTGATATCCTTTCTTCTGGTTGATCAATTCAGCTATTGATACTTGTGTATGCTTCATGAAGTTCTCATGATGTGTTTTTCAGCTCCATCAAGTCACTTATGTTTTTCTCTAAACTTCTAGTTAGCAGTTCCTGTAATCTTTTGTCAAATTTCTTAGCTTCATTGCATTGGGTTAGAACATGCTCCTTTAGCTCAATGGAGTTTGTTATTTCCCACCTTCTGAAGCCTACTTCTGTGAATTCATCAAACTCATTCTCTGCCCAGTTTTGTGCACTTGCTGGAGAGGAGTTGCAATCATTTGGAGAAAAGACATTTTTCTCTAGAAGAATGTTTTTGGAATTTTCAGCATTTTTGTGCTGGTTTTTCCTCATCTTCGTGGATTTATCTACCTTTGATCTTTGAGGTTGATGACCTTTGGATGGGATTTTGTGTGGGGGTCCTTTTTGTTGATGTTGATGTTATTGCTTTCTGTTTGTTAGTTTTTCTTCTACCAGTCAGGCCCCTCTTCTGCAGGTCTGCTGCAGTTTGCTCAAGGTTCACTCCAGACCCTATTTGCCTGAGTATCACCGGTGGAGGCTGCAGAACGGCAACTATTACTGCCTGCTTCTTCCTCTGGAAGCTTCATCCCAAAGGGAAGCCCAGTGCCAGCTGGACTCTCCTCTATGAGGTGTCTGTCAACCCCTGTTGGGGAGTCTCTCTCAGTCAGTAGGCACTGGGGTCAGGGATTCACTGGCAGAGGCAGTCTGTCCCTTAGCAGAGCTTGAGCGCTGTGCTGGGAGAACCCTCCTTGTCAGAATCCACTGTTCTCTTCAGAGCCGGCAGGCAGGAATGCTTAAGTCTGATGAAGCTGCGCCCACAGCTGCCCCTTCCCCCAGGTGCTCTGTCCCAGGAAGATGGGAGTTTTATCTCTAAGCCCCTGACTGGGACTGCTGCCTTTCTTTCAGAGATGCCCTCCCCAGTGAGGAGGAATCTAGAGAAGCAGTCTGGCCACAGCCACTTTGCCACGCTGTGTTGAGTTCCACCCAGTCCAAACTTCCAGGCCTCCTTAGCACTGTCAGGGGAAAACTGCCTACTCAAGCCTCACTAATGGTGGATGCCCCTCCCCACAACAAGCTCGATCATCCAGGGTCGACTTCAGACTGCTGTGCTGGCAGTGAGAATTTTAAGCCAGTGGTCCTTAGCTTGCTGGGCTCCATAGGAGTGGGACCCGCTGAGTGAGAGCACTTGGCTTCAGCCCCCTTTCCAGGGGAGTGAACAGTTCTGTCTGTTGATGTTCCAGGTGCCACTGGGGTATGAAAAAAACTCCTGCAGCTGGCTCAGTGTCTGCCCAAACAGCCACCCAGTTTTGTGCTTGAAACCCAGGCCCCTGGTGGTGTAGGCACATGAGAGAATCTCCTGGTCTGCGGATTGCAAAAACCGTGGGAAAGGTGTAGTATGTGGGTGAATAGCACAGTCCCTCACAGCTTCCCTTGGCTGGGGAAGCTCCTTGCACTTCCCGAGTGAGGCGATGCCACACCATGCTTCTGCCTGCCCTCCAGGTGCTGCACCTGCTTCCTAACCAGTTACCTAACTGGTACCTCAGTTGGAAATGCAGAAATCACCTGCCTTCTGCATTGGTCTCACTGGGAGCTGCAGAGCAGAGCTGTTCCTATTCAGCCATCTTGCCAGATTTGCCAACAAGTGCCAATTTCCTGCTTTCATTTCAGAGAATGACACCCCCAGCCATCTGCTTGTTCAATCCAGGAATCTAGATCAGCACAGTGCACTCGTTTAGGCCACAAAGTGAAATGTAAAACCCAATAACACCACTGCAAGTCTGAGTAACTTTAGGCAAATTATTTAATTTCTCTGAAACTTATTTTAAAATTTTTTACTTGTAATATGGACATAATATGTCTCTTTCATTGTGTGCGTGTGTGTTTTTGGTGTGTGTGGGCATGTGAACTGGGTAATACAATGATTGTTGAATGGTTATGTTATAATAAGCATTTAATATATGTTGGTTATAACTACTATCCTTAATTTATCCTTCTTCGTCATTTTATACCAAAATTGTAACACTGTATATTCTAATATCTCTCAAATGCCTCTATTTCTATCCAACCAAATTGTCACCACTCTAGTCTGCAGTATATATATAACGTGATGTTATAATGCATGTATATATTTTGGAATGAGTACAGCAGGCTAAATAACATATCTGCCACCTCACATACTTATCATTACTTTGTGGGGAAAATATTTAAAATCCACTCCATTAGCAATTTTGGAATATACAATACATTTTAACTATAGTCACCATGCTATACAATAAATCATTAGAAGTTACTTCTCCTGTGTAACTGAAACTTTGTACCCTTTGACCAGTCCACCCCTGTCCACTCCTACCTCAAACTCTGGTAACCACCATTCTATTTTCTACCTCAATAGATTTGACCTTTTTAGATTCCACATATAAGGGAGATCATGCAATACTTGTCTTTCTGTGCCTGGCTCATTTCACTCAGCATAATGTCCTCTAGCTTAACCCATGTCAGAAATGACAGGATTTTCTTTTTTTAAAGGCTGCATAGTATTCCACCAGGTATATATAACATTTCTTTAGTCATTCATCTATTGGTGAAGATTTAGGTTGTTTCCATGGCTACTGTGAATAATGCTGCAAAGACCATGGGAGTGCAGATATCTCTTTGAGATACTGATTTCAATTCCTTTGAATATATATCCAGAAGTGGAATTGCTGGATCACATAGTAGTTGCATTTTTAGTTTTTTGAAGAAACTGCACTGTTTTCCAAAATGGCTCTATTAATTTACATTTCCATTAACACTGTGCCAGTTCCCTTTTTTCCACATTTTTGCCTTAAAATACATTTGTTGAATAAAATGAGTAGAAGGGTTAATTCCTCCTCAGAAGTGGAAGGAAATGTTAAAAAAGATGAAAGGGGAGATAGAGATTTGGAATAGGGAAAAAGATTGATTTGAGAATACAATTTTGGAGTTCTTCTGTAGATGGAATGAAAATTGTCCCAGTGAATTTATTCAGTTGTGGTAATGTGAAATACTATATTATGTGAATTTTTTCAACTTATCCTCTCCCTTCATTAAAAATATCCACAGTAGTTCACGAGGAAAGAAGACAGCAATTACAACAAAAGCACAATTAAGCCACCTCTCAAACTTGACATTGAAATGCATATTTGTCTATAGGTGAGGGCAATCGATAAAGTATATAGTTTGAATGAATATACAACAATTATCTTCATTTTTAAGTTTTTATTTTGTTTTATTTATCTAAGTTTTTATAATTTGCTTCAAACATCAAACTGCAGATTAATTTTTCTCACTTGAATTAGGCCTTGAGCATTTTAAATTAGGGGATTCTCCCTACAACTGTTTTAATTTTATTAAACATTTTTATTAACCAACTTAAACTAAGCTCTAGAAGAGTATCTTTTAATAACACAAACATGAACATTTAAATTAATCTATAGCTGGTCCAGGAAATAAAAAACTACACTAGAAATTGATTGTTCAAATAAACATATTCAAATAAAAACCAGGTATTTAGAAACAATTGGATTTAACCATCAAAACACTGCAGGCATAGCACATTGCCATTAACAGTCAGAAATAGAAGTCATAACAATTTGTAACCAGTTAAAATAATTCAGTTGTATGAACGTAGGTTATATTCAAAACAAGAGAAGTGTTTTTTAAGGGCATTCTGTTGTCATAAGTTAATGGAAATTAAATTTTTAGCCACTCAACTGAAAGTATATTAGCTTTGGGAGTGATAAAGCTACCTTTTTTTTACCTGCTAGCTGCGTGACATCTTCCAGACGTTTATCTTGCTGAGGCTTGGTGCTCTCATCCAGAGAATGGGAATGATAAATATTACTTATCTTAAAGGATTTATGTAAAGACTAAATGAGATGCTGTGTAGGAAGTGCTCAGAGATTATCAGCATCCTTCTATATGAAGCACTTAACAATAATTTGTTGAAACAGACACTAATTCCTGCACCAGCCAAATAGCTCTTGAATTTTCCAGATTGATGATCTATAGCAATAGGTTTCTAATTCATTAGGATAAGTCTCTTGGAAAGTTTATAAAAATTCAGATAACCTAACCCCAAATTCAGGGAATCTAATTCAATATGCTTCTTGTTGAAATTTATCATATCAAAAATGAACAAATAAAACAATATAAATATTCATTAATAAGGGTGGGATATATAAAAACTTTGCTATATTCATACAAATACTTGAATACAACTCAAAGATCATGTTTTAGCATAAAATGTATTGCCACGGAAAATTAAGGAAAAATCAGATTAAAATAGGTACTTTTGATCCTCTATTCAACATTTCTATATGGAAAATGGATCAGAAGAACATATACCAAATCATTAATAGAGATTTTCTCTGGTGACTACTAAAGATTTTTAATGTTTTAAATTTTCTTTTCTATATTTTTCCCAAATATTCTAAAACAAATACATTAATTTTAATCGGAAAAGAATATAAAACAAAATTTATATTAACGTTGAAGTATGAAAAAGGAGAGCAGGGATGGCTTCAAAGAAGCAAATGAATACCAGAGATTCTTCTAGAAATCGCATTCTACAGCACAAGTTCACACATCCCCAAGAAAATGCCGGTGAGCATGACCCAGCCATTATTAACAGAGAACTCTAGGACATATGGTGTCCATTTGTATTCTAATTTAAAACTTCCAGTGTTGTATATTTAAAAAGATTTGATCTGCAGGTGAAACATTGGATGTATTTATATCTGTGTTGCATGGTAGGTAGGAGCTATGGTTTGCAAAAGAATGCTGCTTCTCTGGTTTGACATAAATGGTGATTACTTTTATTTGTAACCGTTTTTTCCCTTATTTTTCAGGTCATGCTATTGCAGCATATGATTCATTTTTATAATCTGGTCTTCTCTTTGCCCAATTCCTGAAAGGAAACCAGGCGACATCATGGAAAGAAAGAATCAAACAGCTATAACTGAATTCATCATCTTGGGATTCTCCAACCTAAATGAATTGCAGTTTTTACTATTCACCATCTTCTTTCTGACTTATTTCTGTACTTTGGGAGGAAATATATTAATTATCTTGACGACTGTGACTGATCCACACCTGCATACACCTATGTATTATTTTCTAGGGAACTTGGCCTTTATTGACATCTGCTACACCACCAGCAATGTCCCCCAGATGATGGTGCACCTCCTCTCAAAGAAAAAAAGCATTTCTTATGTGGGGTGTGTGGTTCAACTTTTTGCGTTTGTTTTCTTTGTAGGATCAGAGTGTCTCCTACTGGCAGCAATGGCATATGATCGTTACATTGCAATCTGCAATCCTTTAAGGTATTCAGTTATTCTGAGCAAGGTTCTATGCAATCAATTAGCAGCCTCATGCTGGGCTGCTGGTTTCCTTAACTCAGTGGTGCATACAGTGTTGACATTCTGCCTGCCCTTCTGTGGCAACAATCAGATTAATTACTTCTTCTGTGACATCCCCCCTTTGCTGATCTTGTCTTGTGGAAACACTTCTGTCAATGAGTTGGCACTGCTATCCACTGGGGTCTTCATTGGTTGGACTCCTTTCCTTTGTATCGTACTTTCCTACATTTGCATAATCTCCACCATCTTGAGGATCCAGTCCTCAGAGGGAAGACGAAAAGCCTTTTCTACATGTGCCTCCCACCTGGCCATTGTCTTTCTCTTTTATGGCAGCGCCATCTTTACATATGTACGGCCCATCTCAACTTACTCATTAAAGAAAGATAGGTTGGTTTCAGTGTTGTACAGTGTTGTTACCCCCATGCTAAACCCTATAATTTACACATTGAGGAATAAGGACATCAAAGAAGCTGTCAAAACTATAGGGAGCAAGTGGCAGCCACCAATTTCCTCTTTGGATAGTAAACTCACTTATTGAACCTCACAGGTTCAATAATCTTATACTACAAAATTAACTTTTTCACCAGTCAGCTGTTTTTATTGAAAGTTTAAAAGATAATTGCAATGTTGGGACAGATATTGAAGAGTTGATACACTCCAGTCTAAGTGTACTTATTCTTGAGCTTTAGTTAGTTCTATGAGAGATATCAATGTTGCTCTCTTTAGATATTATCTTCTTATTTATTTTTCCATTCCTGAATTTTGCATTCAAAGACTGTTTCCCTCTTTCATGAGATATTTGTTTAATGGACTTCATCACTTGAAAATTTCCCTGCTTTTTCATATTGCTTTCTGTATATTAAATAATGTGAAATATTTTTCTTCACATTCCTCATATGTGTGTCATATTTTTCTGTTCTTACTACTTAAGCCATGCTTTTGACCTTTCTTTCTTTAGTAGGCCCTTCTTAATAAAACATCATCACCAATAGATTAAGAAATGTAAACACAGTAAAGTGATGTTTTACCTCCAGATCTGTTGGTAGCTAATTTTAATTTTATCACCTGCTGCATGGGCCAAGGCCAATTTATCTTCACATTGGAATGAAGACAGTCATAATTTTCAATCCCATTTGACATGCATTCTTTATTCTATTCAAAAGGCAGAATTTCCTGAGGGATTTTTCTAAAACTAAGTCCCCAAAACATATTACTATTTTATAGAGTATCTTAAATTTGGGAAACTTTTTTCGCTAAAAATTTAGAAAACAGAATCAGATAAAACATACAGAAAAAACAAGGGTTTTTTGATGGGGAATAAAAAGTCTTAGTTATATAATGACTAAATTTAGAAAAAAAAGTAGAAATTACTAATGTTAAAAGTAAAAGTACTTAATTACTATTTTCTATGTGTTATTACCATGTAAAGTACAGTTATGAAGTCAAGACAAATGGGAAGGAAGACTAAGTGGTGGAAGAGAGAAATAAATACAGACACTGGAGAGAAAATTTAAAAGATAAAGAGACTTAGAGATACCAAGAAGGGAAAATAAATAACATACAATGTAAGAGCCTAAGAGATTGAAAGAGAGATAGAAAAAGGCTTATAGATCAGGTAGATACAAGTTGTCTAGTGTCTTTCTTCACTATTCTCTCAGGACCGTCTTCTTTTTCTTCCCATACCTACTGATGCCTCCCTTGATTAAGTCTTGACTTCCCAGCCCCTCTTTTGTGTAATGTTGTCATAGTGTTCTAGTGGAGTGCCTTGTCTCCATTCCTATTCTGTTTAATGTACCCTGCACATCATTTCTGAGTTAACTTTCTTAACATGGTGTTATGTACAGTCTCCTATACTGTTTTTGTTTTAATAAACTCTACTGGCTTACTGGCACACTCTTCATTTAACTAAATATATTTGTAACCACTGTCTATAAAATCTAAGTACTACCTACTTTGTAACTCATCTCCTGCAGGAACCCTAAATAATTCTTCTCCAGGTATGGCTTGATCTTTCCTGACTACATACCACTATTATGACGATTCCCTTAATTTGGAATTCACATCTCCTCCCTTATTTGTTCAAAATTCTCTTCATTCTTTATAGTTCAATTCAAAATCTACTTTCTCCTCCATCATTCCACCTAATGTTTTCTATTCCTCCTTAAATCACATGGTACTGCCTGAAATGGTGGTGGTGGTGGTAGTGAGAGTTACTTGACTAATCTATTTAAAATTACAACTTCTCACCACTCCCCCACTCAATAACTCTTGATAACTCCACTCTGTCTTTCATTTCATAGCAGTTATCTAAAGTTATTATTATCAGAATTATGTATCCTGTTCACCTCTTTATCTTTAGGGCCAAGAAGAGAATAATTCCTGGCCTATCATAGGTGGTAAATACTCCTGAATAAATATATGAACATGGGGGGCAGAAAGGAAAAACCAGTATCAGCCACTGCAAAAACACACTGAAATACAAGGATCAATGACACTATAAAGAAACTGCATCAACTCGTGTGCAAAATAACCAGCTAGCATCATGATGACAGGATCAAATTCACATATAACAATATTAACCTTAAATGTAAATGGGCTAAATGACCCAATTAAAAGACACAGACTGGCAAATTGGATAAAGAGTCAAGACCCCTCAGTGTGCTGTATTCAGGAGATCCTTGACATGTGCCAGGACACACATAGGCTCAAAATAAAGGGATGGAAAAAATTTACCAAGCAAATGGAAAGTAGAGAAAAGCAAGGATTGTAATCCTAGTTTCTGATAAAACAGACTTTAAACCAAAAAAGATAAAAAACACAAAGGAGGGGATAACATAATGGTAAAGGGGTCACTTCAACAAGGAGAGCTAACTATCCTAAATGTATATGCACCCAATACAGGAGCACCCAGATTCATGAAGCAAGCTCTTAGAGAGCTACAAAGAGACGTAGACTTCCACACAATAATACTAAGAGACTTTAACACCCCATTCTCAACATTAGACAGATCATCAAGACAGAAAACTAACAAGGATATTCAGGACTTGAACTTGGCTCTGGATCAAGTGAACCTGATAGATATCTGCAAGCCCTTCCAGCCTGAAACAACAGAATATACATTCTTCTCAGTGCCACGTGGCATTTACTCTAAAATCGATCACATAATGGGAAGTGAAGCACTCCTCAACAAATGCAAAAGAACTGAAATCATAACAAACAGTCTCTCAGACCACAGTTCAATCAAATTAGAACTCAGGATTAAGAACCTCACTCAAAACCAACAATGACATGGAAATTGAACAACCTGCTCCTGACTGACTTCTAGGTAAATAATGAAATTAAGGCAGAAACTAAACCATTCTTGAAACCAATAAGAACAAAGAGACAACATACCAGAATCTCTGGGATGCAGCTAAAGCAATGTTTAGAGGGAAATTTGTAGCACTAGAAAGAACTCAAACTGACACCCTAACATCACAACAAAAGAACTAGAGGAGCAAGGGCAAATAAATCCAAAATTTAGCAGAAAACAAGAAATAACTAAGATCGGAGAAGAACTGAAGAAGAGACAGACACAAGAAAATGCTTCAGCAAATCAATAAATCCAGAAGTTGTTTCTTTTTTGAAGACATTAATAAAATAGACTGCTAGCTAGACTAATAAAGAAGAAAAAAGAGAAGAATCAAATAGACACAATATAAATGATAAAGGGCATATCACCACTGACCCCATAAAAATACAAACTACCATCAGAGAATACTATAAATATCTCATGCAAACAAACTAGAAAATCTAGAAGAAATGAATAAATTCCTGGATGCATACACCCTCCCAAGACTACACCAGGAAGAATTCAAATCCTTGAATAGACCAATAACAAATTCTGAAATTGAAGCAGTAATAAATAGCCTAACAACCAAAAAAAGCCCAGCACCAGATGGACTCACAGTCGAATTCCACCAGAGGTACAAAAAGGAGTTGGTACCACTCCTTCTGGAACTATTTCAAACAATTCAAAAGGAGGGACTTCTCCCTAACTAATTTTATAAGCCCAGCATCATCCTGATACTAAAACCTGGCAGAGACGGAACAAAATAAGAAAACTTCTGGCCAATATCTCTGATGAACATCAATGTGAAAATCCTCAATAAAATACTGGCAAATCAAATCCAGCAGCACATCAAAAAGCTTATCTGCCACAATCAAGTCGGCTTCATCCCTGGGATGAAGGCTGGTTCAACAGACACAAATCAATAAATGCAATTCATCACATAAACAGAACCAATGACAAAAACCACATGATTATCTAAATAGATGCAGAAAAGGCCTCCGATAAATTTCAACATCCCTTCATACTAAAAACTTTCAATAAACTAGGTATTGATGGAACATATCTCAAAATAATAAGAGCTATTTATGACAAACCCACAGCCAATATCATACTGAATAGGCAAAAGCTGGAAGCATTCCCTTTGAAAACTATCACAAGACAGGGAAATCCTCTTTCACCATTCCTATTCAACATAGTATTGGATGTTCTGGCCAGGGCAATCAGGCAAGAGAAAGAAATAAAGCGTATTTGAATAAAAAGACTGGAAATCAAATTGTCTCTGTTTGCAGATGACATTGTATATTTAGAAAACCCCATCGTCTCAGCCCAAAATCTCCTTAAGCTGATAAACAACTTCAGCAAAGTCTCAGGATACAAAATCAATGTGCAAAAATCACAAGCATTTCTATACACCAACAATAGACAAACAGAGAACCAAATCATGAATGAACCTTCATTCATAATTGCTACAAAGAGAATAAAATACCTAGGAATACAGCTAACAAGGGATGTGAAAGACTTCAAGGAGAACTACAAACCACTTCTCAAGGAATTAGGAGAGGACACAAACAAATGGAAAAACATTTCATCCTTGTGGATACGAGGAACCAATATTGTGAAAATAGCCATACTGTCCAAAGTAATTTATAGATTCAGTGCTATTCCCATCAAACTACCATTGACATTCTTCAGAGAATTAAAAAAAAAAGGCTACTTTAAAACTCATATGGAACCAAGAAGGAGCCTGTATAGCCAAGACAATCCTAAGCAAAAAGAACACAGCTGGAGGCATAATGCCACCTGACTTCAAACTATAATACAAGGCTACAGTAACCAAAACAGCATGGTACTGGTACCAAAGCAGACACATAGACCAACAGATCAGAAATAAGACGGCACATCTACAACCATCTGAATTGCAACAAACCTGACAAAAACAAGCAATGGGGAAATGATTCCCTATTTAATAAATGGTGCTGGGAAAATGGGCTAGCCATATGCAGCAAACTGAAACTAGACCCCTTCCTTACACCTTATACAAAAATTAGCTCAAGATGTATTAAAGACTTAAATGTAAAACCTAAAACGATAAAAATCCTAGAAGAAAATGTAGGTAATACCATTCAGAGAATAGGCATGGGCAAAAATTTTATGATGAAATTGTCAAAAGCAATTGCAACAAAAGCAAAAATTGACAAGCAGGATCTAATTAACTAAAGAGCTTCTGCACACCAAAAGAAACTACCATCAGAGTGAACAGGCAACCTGAAGAATGGGAAAAAAATTTTGCAATCTACCCATCTGATAAAGGTCTAATATCCAGAATTTACAAGGCACTTAAACAAATTTACAATAATAAAACAAATAACCCCATCAAAAAGTGGGCAAAGGATATGAACAGACACTTCTCAGAAGATACTTACACAGCCAACAAATTATGAAGAAAAGCTCAACATCACTGATTGTTAGAGAAATACAAATTAAAACCACAATGAGCTACCATCTTATGCCAGTCAGAAGAGCAATTATCAAAAAGTCAAGAAACAATAGATGCTGGCAAGGCTGTGGAGAAATAGGAACACTTTTACACTGTTGGAGGGAATGTAAATTAGTTCAACCATTGTGGAAGACAGTGTGGCAATTCCTCAAGGATCTAGAACCAGAAATACCATTTAGCCCAGCAATCCCATTACTGGGTATATAACCAAAGGAATATAAATCATTCTATTATAAAGATACACACACATATGTTTATTGCAGCACTATTCACAATAGCAAAGACTTGGAATCAATCCAAATGCCCATCAATGATAGAATACATAAAATGTAGTACATATATATCATGGAATACTATGCAGCCATAAAAAGGAATGGGATCATGTCCTTTGCAGGGACATAGATGAAGCTGGAAGCCATCATCCTCAACAAAGTAACTGAAACAGAAAACCAAACACCGCATGTTCTCACTAATAAGTGGGAGTAGAATAAAGAGAACACATGGACACAGGGAGGGAACAACACACACCAGGGCCTGTCGGCGGGTGGAGGGTGGGAGAGCATCAGGACAAATGGCTAATGCATGCAGGGCTTAATACCTAGGTGATGGGTGGTTAGGTGCAGCAAATCACCATGGCACACGTTTACCTATGTAACAAACCTGCACGTCTGCACATGTATCCTGGAACCTAAAATAAAATAAAATTTAAAATATATATAAACATACCATAAAACTACCATGACATTGAACATCCTAGAGGGTTTGTGCATGAAAGTTTTTGCTTTCTTACTACTTTTTATGCTCCCAGTTAACACACATCTTACAGGAAGTATACGTTTTAGTATTTCTCACATCCCATAGTTTGTTTCATTCACCATAGAATATTATTCCAGAATATTATGTTCACAGAATAGATGAATAAGTAGAGATAATGAATGATATAATTTAGTTGGTTGCAAATATTATTTTAAGTCAAAATTTTCTGACACATTTGCTTATTAGATGATAAAAAATTTTTTTTGGTCAACACGTATTTCTCATCAAATATTTCCAAAGTGGGAAACATCCAAGCCTCATACTTTGACAACATGCTCTTCTGTCTCAATGTAGTCTACCTCTTTCACTTTTTTTTTGCTTTAAATATTAACCATGTACCACTGACTTTCACTTTATTTATCTGCAGCTTTTACTTCTATTCTAAATTCAACCAAATCTCACGCCATATTTTGTTTTAATTCAAACTCATAACCCTTTAATCAAAATCAGTTGCCATCTGTTTTATCAATGCCACTGCAATTCTCACATTCTGTTTATATCCCATTCGTTTTCTTTACTTTCTGATGCTCTTCCAATGATTAACTCACAGCTCTGAACAAATATAGCATTTTGTTACATCTAAGGCTGTTCAGTTTCAGTATACTAAAGAAAATAAGTAAAGAAACATTAAAAACAAAAAAAGTAAAATACACACAATAAAACCTAGAGAAGTGAATCCCAAAAGCAATATGCTAGCATACTGATAAGGGAGTGCTGGGAAGGGAAGAACGTGGTCCCTTTAAATGATACAAAAGGGGAGAAGAGAAGTGCTGGGTAGAGGAAGGTGTGTTCCCTGACTAGGGCTCCATCCCACGGACCTAGGTGAGGACAGGCACTCCTGCTTTTTCGCCCAAATGTTGCATTTCAAAAGTCCACCCTGACCCACCATGCCCCCATCCTTGGCCTATAAAAACCCGAGGCCCCAGCAGGCAGACACACAGGTGGCCAGATGTCCAGAGGAGTACATTGGCGAAAGAAGATGCAAGCGGCTGGTCCTCGAGAGGATGTCAAGAGGAGCACGCAGGCAGAAGAGCACACAGACAGGCACCAGCATACCAGCAGGCCATCAGCTGGTGGGAGGAGGTGGAGTTTGGCCGCGGCAGAGGAGAGCAAGGCCGAGTGGCCCAACTCCAGGGGAAGACCATTTCCCTTCTGGCTCCCCCATCAGTTGAGAGCTACTTCCACTCAATAAAGCTTTACACTAATTCTCCAAGCCCACGTGTGATCTAATTCTCCCGGTACACCAAGGCAAGAAACCCTGGGATACAGAAAGCCCTCTGTCCTCGGACAAGGTAGAAGGTCTAATTGGGCTAACACAAGCCACCTGTAGACAGCAAATTAAGAGCACCCTGTAACACACGCCCACTGGGGCTTCAGAAGCTGCAAACATTCACCCCTAAACACTGCCATGGGGTTGGAGCTCCACAGTCTGCCTGTCTGTAAGCTCCCCTAGTTGTTTGAGCAGTGGGGCCCTGAAAAAGCGAGCCACATCCCCATCGCATGCCCTGCGAGGGGGACAAGGGAACTTTTCCCATTTCAATACCACTAGAGAGGTTCACAGACAATTTGAGCCCTGTTTTCTCAAAACAGAAAAGGAAGGACAGTAAGAACTGTGCGAAGTGAGGATAAAGAAACAGAAAAGGGAGCCAATAGTCATTGGCATTATACACCTGAGAAAGCAGCAGCAGTTACCATACTGAGCATAGCCGGAGGAGTTCACCACAGTTAGAGAAATGAAGGCAGAAATGGTAGGTACACCTGTGGATTTGGAAGTTAAAAACTGATGAGGTTTTAAATCAAAGGAATCAAAGGTTTGTTTTTCTTTGTAATATAAGAAAATAATTTGCTTACAATCTTTTTTTACCTGTCATACACTATTATTCGTTTATTGTTATAGTTGGCAAATAAAAATTATATTTATCATGTACAACATGATGTCTTGAAATATGTATACCTTGTGAAATGGCTAATCAACGTATGCAATACCTCACATACTTTTTTGTGGTGAGAAAACTCATCTATTCTTTTGGCAATTTTCAAGAATACAAAACGTTATTAACTACAGTCACCATGTTGTACAATAGATCTCTTGAACTTATTTCTCCTATATAACTGAAATATTGTATCCATTTACCAACATCTCCCCACCACATCCCCTCCCAGCCCCTAGTAACCACAATTCTACTCTCTATTTCTATGATTTCAACTTTTAAAAATTCTGCATAATGTGAGATCATGTAGCATTTGTCTTTCTGTTCCTAGCTTACTTCACTTAAAATAACGTTCTCCAGGTTCATCCATGTTGTCACAAATGACAGAATTTGCTTCTTTTTTAAGACTGAATAGTATTCTATTGTGTACATATGCCATATTTTATTTATCCATTCATCCGCTGATGAACACTTAGGTTGATTCCATGTCTTGGCTATTATGAATGGTGCTGCAATAAACATTGGAGTGCACATATTTCTTTGATATGCTGATTTCATTTCCTTGGATATATACCAAGTAATGGGATTCCTTGATCATATGGTGGTTTTATTTTTAATTTTTTAAAGAACTTTCATACTATTTTCTATAATGGCTATACTTACTCACATTCGCATCAACAGTGCGGAAGAGTTCCTTTTTCTTGACATCCTTATCAGCATGTGTTACCTTTTGTCTTTTTAATATTAATTATTCTAACAGATATAAGGTTATATCTCATTGTGGTTTTCATTTGCCTTTCTCTGCTGACTATTAATTTAGTATTTTTTCATATACCTGTTGGCCATTTGCATGTCTTCTTCTGAGAAATGTCTCTTCAGGTCATTTGATCGTAACCAGGTTATTTGTTTTCTTTAATTGGGTTATTTGTAATATATATTTTGAATAGTAACCTCTTAACAGATGTGTGCTTGGCCGATTACAAAGGTTGTCTCTTCACTCAGTTGATTGTTCGCTTGGCTGTGCTGAAGCATTTTTGTTTGATGTAGTCAAAATTGTCTCTTTTTGGCTTTATTGCCAGTACTTTCAAGGTCATATCCAAAAAGTCTTTCCCAGATCAATGTCATGGAACTTTTTCCCCAATATTTTCTTCTAGTATTTTTACAATTTCAAATTACACATTTAATCCAAATGTCTTTAATCCATTTTCAGTTTTTTAAAAAAATATTGTGTGAGATTAGGGTCCAATTTCATTCTACTGGCATGCAAATATCCAATTGTTCCAACATTAGTTGTTGAAGGAACTGTCTTTTCTCCATTGTGTGCTATTGGCACTTTTGTCAAAAATCAATGGACTGTAAATGCATACATTTATTTCTGAGTTCTTTATTTTTTTCCATTGGTCTTTCTGTCTGTTTTTATGCCAGTACCATGCTGTCTTAATCGCTTTAGCTTTGGAGTGTATTTTCAAATCAGGTAGTATAATACCTGCAGCTTTGTTCATTTTTTGCAAGATTGCTTTGGCTACTTGGGTTATTTTTTTAGTTCCATAGAATTATAGGATTTTTTCCCATTTCTGTGAAACATGTCATCGATATTTTGATGAGATTATGCTGACTCTGTAGATTACTTTGAATAGCATGAACGTTTTAACAATATTATTTCTTCCAATTTGCAGGATATATCCATAGGATGTTTTTCCAATTATTTGTGTCTTTTTCAATTACTTTAATCAATGCTTTATAGTTTTTTTGTGTACAAATCTTTAACCTCCTTGGTTATGTTAATTCTTAAGTATGTTATTTTTCTTTTTTTTGTAGCTATTGTAAGTGGGGTTGTTTTCTTGATTTCTTTTTTAGATTGTTGTTAGTGTATGGAAATAATTTTTATATGTTGATTTGTATCCTGCAACCTTATTGAATTCATTTATTATTTCTAACAGTTTTTTGATAAATTCTTTATAGCTTTTATGTACAATAATATACCACATGCAATCAGGGACAATTTTAACTTTCTCAGGGGAAGAGACAGAATGAGTTACTTATACCACCGTAATGGGAAAAAGAATGTGCATTTTGAAATTTGATTAACCTTAAGTGAAACAAAATAGTCAGTGTTTATTTCTTCCAGTTACAGTTTTCCATCCCATTTTTAACACTTCCAGTATTGGAAGAGCTTGAATTGTAAATGGATGTGGAAATAGCTATAAGGTGATGGAAGAACCACCATTCTCATAATCAGAAGATGTGCATTTGAAGTTGAACACTACTGATAAATACCAGTGCAATCTTAGTCAAGATAGTTATGGTTTCTTTAATCTGAATTTTCTCTTCTATAAAATAAAAATAATTTTTAAAAACAAAAATACAAAAGTATTTTTTGAAATAACTATAGAAAATAATACATCGTTACTAGGGTGGCTGAATGATGAGCACTAACATCTCTTCCACGCTTATATGTGATGTTATTTAATGTAGTTAATATATATTAACCCATTTAACATGCCACATGTGAGAGATACTATTACCATCTTTTTTACAACTGAGCCACCAAATTAACTAGCTTTCTTTAAGTCACATACCTAACAATTGGTGGTTCATTGTTCAAACTCACACCATCTGATTCTAAAAGATGTATTGTTAACTGGTGTATATGCCATACTGAAAATTAGCTACAAGGTTTATTGCTTTCACAGAACATTTAAAAAGAATGCAGGATTGATTTGTTTATTGGGAGTATTTTATTAGATTATTCTAACCCACTTAGACATAAAACAAAGAAGAATTTGAAATTTTGGAGTTTGAATTCTGTCTCCCAATATAGAGAGTAGGTAACTAGAATAACTTTGGAGGCCTCTACAGTATTTATTTTCTTCTAAGACTACAGGTTATAGCAATTGCTAATTTCTATTAAAGATGTGTGTTCACTGAGGGCTGTACTGGCAAAGAGTCCACACAGTTTACACAGAGCTAACAGCAGCTTCTTAACACCATCATTTTTCAGTTTTCATACAATTAAAAATGGTCTCTTGGAAACTGGCTCTTATCAAGAAAGTTTTTGTTCCACTAGTAGGTCACTTGGGGGCTCATTAGAAAGCTTACAGATAATTGTATTGTTAAGATGTTATAAATGTTTTCGCAAAGTCAATAAGTACATAATTGCTTAGGTGCCTCAAAACTGTTTTCTTTGAAGAGTAAGATGCTCCATCAGGGCATATGTATTAAATACTTCCAAAGTGTCTCCAGAGGTGCCAGCTTTGTTAGGTAGTCCCTGGCGCCTTTCTCTCAGGTGTGCCTCATGGTTTTAACAATTACTTCTGCAAGAGGCCTCTTGGGGTAAGCCACTTAACAAACAGCACTGAGATAAACTTTCTTCAAAGTCTATCCTTCAAAGTTGGCCTCCTTAGGGAAAGAGATGGGTGACTTCATGCAAAGCACCACACTCAACTGTAAAGGAGAAAGGGTCATTACTATTAAAAAAAGAAGACATTTCAGAAAGCCTCAAGGGTGTTTACCTTTTCTCTGAAAGCCCCTTACCCCAGAATGAATGAGAACTGGGTTCTTGTTAATACAAATGTATATACATAGAGAGAGGGCAGAGAGAGAGGCAAGGGAGAGAGTTGGTATTAGCAAAGTTCCAGTTCTCATTCACCCTGGGGACTATGTATGTACAGTATATATTCACATAGCCACCCATTCACTTATTCTCTTGTTTTATTTAATTCACTATTCTGATATACTGGATCATCATTACAGTAGTCTACCATATTGAAAGTTCTATTTAAATTACAAATTAAAATACTAATCCAAGTAACATACAACTGTAAAGAATGTGCCTCATCTTGTAAAACGGAAGCTTTTTTCCACTTGATATTTATGTTGTAGCATTTAAAATTAATTTTGTTCAGTTTTATAATATGAGATCATGCTTTTCTACTATTTATTGCTATTTGTGAATTATAGTATAAATTTGTCATCTATGAATTCAATTTACTGTTGTATACATAGCCTTATGTTTGATTTTTGTTACTATATCTTTCATAGATTCTTTTCATGTAGTTTTGAAAAGCTAGATGCATATTATAAACTTATGTATACTTGTATATATACTTATAAAGCTATGTACAAATTAGTAACATATATATGTAATAAAATTGTGTATTGGAATATTTCATTAGGTTATTTCAGCCACAAAACATGTATCATCATGCTTAAGAACCTATAGGAAGTGAGATTCTGTGTTAGGGAAGAATTACTTTAGACAAGAACAGGACACTTATAATAGTTCTTTGAGAAATCATATTCTTCCTCTACAGCTGTCTTTCCATTCAAAACTTATATTTAAAATTTCCTGCTCTAGGAGTTCATCTAGGATTGCATTTGGTACTAATATTGTTAGGCTTTGTGTCCCCACTCAAATCCACATTGAATTGTAATCCCCAGGTGTTGTGGAAGAGACCTGGTGGGAAGTGATTGGATTATGGGGGTGGTTTCCCCATTCTGTTCTCATGACAGTGAGTGGATTCTCACAAGATCTGATGTTTTTATGACTGGTAGTTTTTTCTACACTTGCACAAGCTCTCTTGCCTGCCACCCTGTAAGACGTGTCTTTGCTTCTCCCTCACCTTCTGCCACGATTGTAAGTTTCCTGAGGCCTCTCCAGCAATGCAGAACCATGCGTTCATTAGACCTCTTTTCTTTATAAATTATCCAGCCTGGGGTATTTTTCTTCATAGCAGTGTGAGAATGGACTAATACAGGTACAGTCAAATTAGTGACTGTTATTCCCTCTATCCAAGTCCTCTGCTTTTTCTGTATCAAGAAACTAGTATCAGTTTTTATTTGGAGGAAATGAATTGATGTGGTAAATAAATGTTTGCCACATCAATATGAGAAAAATATTCCATCGTATAGCTTTCATATGTTTTATTTTCTAAAATGCATGAAAGTATCATCTGCTCAATGATACTAGACTGCATACATAACTAAGTAAAATATTATATGGGGCAGAGGTACATTATGCAAGGATATTCTCATGTTACTAGTTGGGCAGAGGATGTATACTTTTATCTTGTTGAAAATTGCAGATAATGTCATTTAATTCAAATGAAAATTATATGCTTTTTAAATTTTAATCTGGTTTGGTTTTGAAATGATATATCAAAATTTTAATATCTAATTTACCAGTTGTTTTCCATTACCAATCTCCTGGTGTGTACTTCATGACATAAACAAATATATTACTATTCTACAGCAAAAAAAAAAAAAAAAAACAACTCCATGAAATAAGTCTCATTGATTTTTATTTATGTATTTGTGTTTTTATATACGTACACAAAAGTGATATGACCGAGAGTTAAGTCCTGCTTCAAGGTAATTGGAAACCTTGATAGCTACTCAGACTCACATGCTAGAACCATTCTCATGATCATCCTATTCAAGCCTCACTCAAATCTAACTGTTAATTGAAATCAAACGACAATAGATAGCTGGTAAAAAGGTGGGGTTATGAGTACAGTGAGCATGATTGTGGACCTATGTATCCTGCCTATTTTCAAACAAATAGAGTGAGAGGTATTCCAATTTTTTAGTTTGAAAATGCAAAATCATCCTTTAAAAATAAAAAGTTTATTCCATTTGCAACAACATGGATGAACCTGGAGAGCACTATGCTCAGTGAAATAAGCCTCTCAGAAAGACTAATACTCCATGAGTCCACTTATGTGAGGACCTGTAACATTTAGCCTCTAGAAGTAGAGAATGAAAGTTATTGCCAAGGGTAGGGGATGGGGGAAATGGAGATAGGGAAATTGTTTTCCAATGAGTATACAGTTTCAGTTATGCTAGATGAATAAGAGCTCTACTGTGCAACATAGTGGCTATAGGTATTGTGCACTTCAAAATTTGCTAAGAGGGTAAATCTCATGTTGTGTTCTTATAAAAAAAAAAACAAAAAAAAAAAGCAAAGGGATGCAACGGAACTTTGGAAGGTGATAGATACGTCTATTACCTTGATTGTGGTAATGGTATCATGGATATTTGTATATGTCAAAGCTCATCAACTTGTACATATTAAGTATGTGCAATTCTTTGTATATTATACTCCCAATAAAGCTGTTTTTTTAAAAAAAGAAAAAATAATCAAACTTAATTTGGGGTAAGACATTTGTATTAGTCCGTTTTCACATTGCTATAAAGAATACTACCTGAGAGTGGGTAATTATAAAAGAAAGAGGCTTAATTGACTCACAGTTCTGCATGGCTGGGGATGCCTCAGGAAACTTACAATTATAGCAGAAAGTGAAGGGGAAACAAGAACCTTCTTCACATGGTGGCAGGAGAGAGAAGAGTGAAGGAGGAACTTCCAAACACTAATAAAGCCATCAGAGCTCTTGAGAACTCACTCACTATCATGAGAACAGCATGGGGGAAACCACCCCCATGATCCAATCACCTCCGTCCCTCGACACTTGGGGATTACAATTCGAGTTGTAAGATGTGGGTGGGGAAACAGAACCAAACCATATCAACATTCAAAATGCCAGTTCACGTAGCTGTAATATTTCTCTTTTGTCCTTTTCAAAGGTCATCTTTTTTAGGAAACTATAGATTAACTTTTATTTTGGAATAATTATATTAATATGGCAATACAAGTTCTAGTGACTTGTGTTTGATTTATTCTTATGATTTATATATTCTTTGTAAGCACTCTACAATATTTCTTATGTGAGAATTACCTTTATCACATGTCAAACACATCTGAGGGAAAAATAAATTCCATTTTGTTTTTATTATCTGCAGGAAGCACCTAATGCAAACATGTTCTTTTTTTTCCATTTTACAAAATGATTTACAAAAAAGTTGTTTTAAATAATGTTATTGTTGTGTGTGGCAACCGTGATTTGGAGTATAAGTAATTTATACACTGTTACCCAAAAGACTGTTTTGTAAAGCAAAGTGAAACTGTATGTTTCTCTTACTTACAAAAATAATTATGAAATTTTTTATGTCATGCAAGTCACTCTCTCTCATGAGTAAATAGTTGTTATTTAAATAACAATTAACCCACAAGGTTAGCACATCTTTGAAAATAAATTATTTCTTCTCTAGGACCAAAAGGTACATAAGTGCATGGTGAAGAAGTGTTTTCATTTGCAAAAGTTCTATCGCTAGAAAAATAAATTCAAGCAACATATTGTTAATTTCTTTTCTTTAACTTAGGTCATCCCACCTTTTCCTATCCCATGCTGTCATTCTTTTTTTTTTTTTTTTTGAGACGGAGTCTCGCTCTGTCGCCCAGGCTGGAGTGCAGTGGCACCATCTCGGCTCACTGCAAGCTCCGCCTCCCGGGTTCACACCATTCTCCTGCCTCAGCCTCCCAGGTAGCTGGGACTACAGGCGCCCGCCATTACGCCCGGCTAATTTTTTGTATTTTTAGTAGAGACGGGGTTTCACCGTTTTAGCCGGGATGGTCTCGATCTCCTGACCTCGTGATCCGCCCGCCTCGGCCTCCCAAAGTGCTGGGATTACAGGCGTGAGCCACTGCGCCCGGCCCATGCTGTCATTCTTACATTTTGGAATGTTTCTTTTTGAATTCTTTGCTCACTAATAAAATTCCTTAGAACCCTAGCACTACTATGAAAAAGCTCTCCAATACCACTACCTACTCCTGATATTTCTGTGTTGTCATTGACATTTGGTTCTTCTCCCAAAAGCTATTTCTCTTATTCTTCAATTCAAAGCTGCTCCTTCTCTCACAGTTTGAGGAGGTGGGTAGGATCAAGGTCTGTATTCTCTAAGTTTCTTATTTTTTTTCTGACTGTTACTTCTTCTCTTTCATATAAAATATCTTGCACTTTGAGGTCATTTTCTTACCACAAAAATTCTCTACATCTTCTTATTTTGCTCATATGCTTATTTTCCAGGCATGTTCCTAACTGCATATTGGGTGCCCATACCAGTTTCTTCTCTCCAGTATCAAATATGGCCATCACCCAGGCATCTATGTTGATGATGCAACCTTCCCACTGACCATCATGCTGCCACAATCAATATTAGGTAGATTATCTTGCCTCCCCACACTAACCTCAGACCTCCTTGACCTCCACTCCTTTTTTATTCTTTTTAAAATTATTGTTGATCATCAACCTAATACAAGACATTGTGGCATAATCCAGATATCAAAAATTCAATTGTGTATCAGGTCAAGTCTCAATTCCCCACCTTCAAATCATTCACCTTATAAAGAGAGAAACACATACACCAGATAATTAGAATACAATGTAGTAAGTGCAACAGTTAATATGAAAGTTACAAAGGTAGTGCAGATGTTATGATCACATCATGAAGATTACCTACATGTCTACTCTAAGACTATATCCCACCTTCATAGTCTTTTGTTTGGTATTGGAGTATGCTCTTTGCCATTCTCCCATTACTTCTCTCATTCCAATTTATTTTATAAATGTATAATTTATAGACAGTTAACATTCTCTTTTTTAGCATATAATTACTTGACTTTTGGCAAACACATATAATCATGCAACTATAGACACAGGCAAGATATAAAACAATTCTGTCACCTCCCAAATCCTCCCATTCCTTTTTATAAACAACACATCACTGACTCCAGCTTCTGGTAACCATAAATTTGTTTCCATCTTTATAGTTTTTTTCTTTTCCCTAATGTAATAATACAAGTAAAATCATATGATATGTGTCTTTTTTCTCTACATCTTTTTCATTTCTTTGGCTTCAAAGATACTTTCAGTTTCTTAACTGCCCACTTTCCGTAAGTCTTTCAGTTCCTTGTAACTGTACTTATGTCCCTATAGAGCCAGACCTCTATGTCTGTAAAGGGCTAGAACAGTAAGCCAGAGGAAAAAAATTTGCAATTTATTTCTGGGACTTCCAACTTCATAACACATTTATCCTCTAGCCACATCTCCAGGGAATACTCCAAAACAGCATCCAGTATTTTCTATACATACGGTTCAGAAAATCTGGAGAAAACTCCACACTCACACACTCTGATGTTGTTTAAAATTAATAGCAATCTTACTTTTCTCTTACTTTATTTGTTATGGTTACTGCCATCTCCTATTTCCTTCAGGAACTGTTTTAAACATTCATCTTTCCTTCATTAATTTACCCACACTCCCTTCATGCTTGGCAGACAGTCTCACCTTCTGTTCCACAGAAGAAACATAAAGCATTAGATAAGTTCATCTAATGCCATTCTCTGTATTTCCAACCACTCTTCTATCTTACTTCAGTCTATAATCAAGTTCAAATATTTAAAGTATTGTTAAAAATTAGGTCCACTCATGAAACTGTTGCTAAATGCAAGGAAGTTATTATTGCCCCTGACCAGAAAAGTTCTGGTACAGAGATACAGGTAGAAGCCTGATTTCAATAGGCAGAGTGAATGGGTAGCCTTTCCCACTCCTTATTTTTCATTTCTTTACATCTAATATAGAATGAATGATCAACAACTTCTCTTTAACCAACAACTTATCCTTACTTCCATGTTGGCTGTAATATCCCTAAACTTGGAAGTTAAAAATTATATGAACACATTTATCTGTCTTTGCGTTGGAGTAGTTTTCTTAAGTCACAGTGCACCTAGTTCAGGGTTTCTCAACAGAAGAACAATTGACATTTTGGGCTGCATAATTCTTCATGTGTGGGGCTTTTTAAATATGGTGAAACAAAGCCACAGAAAGGCTAAAGAACTTTCCCTAGCTTCTGGAAACCTTTAGTCACATTTAGTAAGAGGTGGCATGGTGATTTGAAGAGATGATTTTTATGTGTACAGTAAATTTATAAGCAGTTGGTTCCACTATTCCACCTGATTCTCCTATTTTACTGTAGTTTGAATACTTCCATTGAAAAATGTATTTTAAATGTCTGGCCAGAATGAGTCTCGGAGATGGCTCGTGATTGATAGGGCCATGACAGAGATTAGGATCAGAGTGCAGTCTGAGGTTGTATTCCATAGAAGCACAGTCTCTCCTCTCCACCAACCAACTTCACATGCCAGTTATGTAACTCATAACAGCTTAGTGACATGGTCCATACTCTTTTTCAAAATATAAGCAAATTAATATTAGTAAAGTAGTTGCTAAGAGACTCCCATTTGGCCTATGTGTCTGTTTTTGTACCACTATCATGTTGTTTTGGTTAATGTAGCCTTGTAATATAGTTTGAAGTTGGGTAGTATGATGCCTCCAGTATTTTTCTTTTTGCTTAGTATTGCTTTTGCTATTTGGGCTCTTTCTTGATTTCAAATGAAGTTTAGAATATTTTTTCTAATTCTGTGAAAAACAATATTGGTAGTTTGATAGGAATAGCATTGAACGTGTAGATTGCTTTGGAGAGTATGGTCATTTTAACAATATAAATTCTTCCAATCCATGAGCATGGGTTTTTTTCCCCATTTATTTGTATCCTCTATGATTTCTTTCTTCAGTATTTTGTAGTTTTCCTCAAAGAAATCATTCACTGCTTTGGTTACGTGGATTCCAACATACTTTATTCTTTTTGTGGCTATTGTGAATCGGATTGTATTATTGATTTGGCATTCAGCTTCAATGTTATTGGTATATAGAAATACTACTGATTTGTACATTGATTTTGTATCCTGAAACTTTACTGAAGTTTTTATCAGCTCTACAAGCCTTTTGGCAAAGTCATTAAGGTTTTCTAGGTATAGAATCGTATTGTCAGCAAGGAGATAATTTGACTTCCTCTTTTCCTATTTTGTTGCTTTTTATTTCTTTCTCTTGCCTGATTGTTCTGACTAGGATTTCCAGCACTATGTTGAATAGGAATGGTGAGAGTTGGCATCCTTGGCCTGTTCCAGTTCTTAAGTGTAACACTTCCAGCTTTTGCCAATTCAGTATAATGTTGGCTGTGGGTTTGTCATAGTGGGCTCTTATTATCTTGAGGTATGTTTCTTCCATGCCTAGTATGTTGAGGATTTTTTTCATGAAGGGATGTTGGATTTTATCAAAACATTTTTTCTGCATTCATTGAGATGATTAAATGGTTTTGTTTTTAATTGTTTATGCGGCAAGTCATGTTTATTGATTTGCATATGTTGAACCAACCTTGCGTACTGGTAGTGAAGCCTGCATGATAGTGGTGAATTAGCTTTTTGATGTGCTGCTGGATTCCATCTGCTAGTATTTTATTGAGAAATTTTGCATCTATGTTCATCAGGGATATTTGTCTGTAATTTTCTCTTTTGTTGTTGTGTCTTTACTAGATTTTGGTATCAGAGTGATGCTGGCTTCGTAGAATGAGTTAGGGAGGAGTCCTCTTCCCCATTTTTAAAAAATATTTCAGTAGGATTGGTACCAGCTTTTCTTTGTACATCTGGTAGAATTTGGCTATGAATCCACCTGTTTCAGGGCCCTTTTTATTTGGTAGGTTTGTTTTTCAATTTCAGAACTCTATATTGATCTCTCCAGGGTTTTGATTTCTTCCTGGCTCAATCTTGGGGTGTTGTGACCTTCCAGGAATTTATTCATTTCCTCTAGAGTTTCTAGTTTGTGTGCATAGTGGTGTTCATAATAGTCTCTGAGGATTTTTTATATATCCGTGGGATTGGTTGTTATTTCACTTTTGCCATTTCTGATTGCACTTATTTAGATCTTCTCTTTCTTTGTTGTTAATTTAGCTGGTGTCCTATTGATCTGGTTGACAAGAACCAGCTTTCGGTTATTACTTTGCATGTATTTTTGAGTCTCAATTTCATTCAGTTCTCTAATGAATTTTGGTTATTTATTGTCTTCTAGCTTTGGGACTAGTTCTTGTTTTTCTAGTTCTCTAGGTGTGATGTTAGATTGTTAATTTGAGATCTTTCTAATTTTTTGATGTAGGTATTTAGTGATGTAAGCTTTCCTAACACTGCTTTAGCTGTATTCCAGAGATTTTAAAATATTGTGTCTCCATGCACACGTATGTTTATAGCAGCACTACTCACAATAGCAAAGACTTGGAACCAACCCAAATGTCCATCAGTGATAGACTGGATTAAGAAAATGTGGCATTTATATACAAAGGAATACTATGCAGCCATAAAAAATGATGAGTTCATGTCCTTTGTAGGGACATGGATGAAGCTGGAAACCATCATTCTCAGCAAACTATTGCAAGGACAAAAAAACCAAACACCACATGTTCTCACTCATAGGTGGGAATTGAACAATGAGAACACTTGGACACAGCAAGGGGAACATCACACACCGGGGCCTGTCGTGGGGTGGGCGGAGGAGGCAGGGATAGCATTAGGAGATATACCTAATGTAAATGACGAGTTAATGGGTGCAGCACACCAACATGGCACATGTATACATATGTAGCAAACTTGCACGTTGTGCACATGTACCCTAGAACTTAAAGTATAATAAAATATGTATATAAAAAAGTAAAAATAAAAAATAAAATATTGTATCTCTGTTTTTATTTATTTTAAATAATTTTCTAAATTTTTGCCTTAATTTTATTGTTTACCCAAAAGTTACTCAGAATAAAGTTATTTAATTTCCATGTAATTTTGTGGTTTTGAGAGAACTTACCGGTATTGATTTGTATTTTTATTCCACCATGGCCCAAAGTATAGTTTGTATGATTTTGAATTTTTTAACTTTATTGAGACTTGCCTGATGTCCAAGCATGTGGTCAATCTTAGCATATGTTCCATATGCAAATGAGAAGAATGTATATCCTATGGTTGCTGGGTGGAGTGTTCTGTAGATGTCTATTATGTCCAATTGGTCAAATGTCGAATTTAACTCCAGGATTTCTTTGTTAGTTTTCTGCCTTGATGATCTAACTCTGTCAATGGGATGTTGAAGTCACCCACTCCCATGGTGTGGCTAAGTATTTTTGTAGGTCTAGCAGTACTTGTTTTATGAATCTAGGTGCTCCAATTTTAGTTGCATATATATTCAGGATAGTTAAGCCATGTGGTTGGATCAAACCCTTTATCATTGCATAGAGCCCTTCTTTATCCTTTTTTGACTACTGTTGTTTTAAAGTCTATTTTATCTGAAATAATAATTGTAACCCCTGCTCTTTTTTGTCTTCTGTTTGGGTGATAGATCTTTCTCCTACCCTTTACCTTGAGTCTATCAGTGTCATCACGTGTAAGATGGGTCTCTTGAAGACAGCAGATGGGTGAGTCTTGTTTTTTATCCAACTTGCCACTCTGTGCCTTTGAAGTAGGGTGTTAAGACCATTCACATTCAAGGTTAATATTAATATGTGAGATTTTGATCATATCGTAAAGTTGTTAGCTGGTTGCTTTGTAGTTTCTATTGTGTGGTTGCCATATAGGGTCTGTGGACTATGTAGTTAAGTGTGTTTTTGTAGTAGCAGTTATTATTCTTTCCATGTTTAGAAATCCATTATGGATCTCTTGTAAGGCTGGTTTAGTGGTAATGACTTCCCTTAGCTATTGCTTATCTGAAAAATATTTTAGTTCTTGTTAACTTATGAAGCTTGGTTTGGTGTTGTATGAAATTCTTGGTTGGAGTCTCTTCCTTAAAAAATGCTGAATGTAAGTCCCCCATAAGATTTCTGCTGAGAAGGCCCCCAATAAGTTTATAATGTTTCCTCTGTTTGCTGTTAGCCTGATGGGATTCCCTTTGTATGGGATCTAACCTTTTTTTCTAGCTGCCTTTAAAGTTTTTTCTTTAGCATTGACCTTGGGCATTCTGGTCACTATATACCTTGGTGATGTTCATTTTATATAGGATCTGGCAGGTCTTCTCTGGATTTATTATATCTGTATGTCTACTTCCCTAGCAAGATAAAGGAAAATTTCTCAAATTATTCCCTCAAATATGTTTTCCATGTTTTTTACTTTTTCTTTTTCTCTCTCATTAATGCCAGTCATTCACAGGTTTTGCCATTTTACACAACCCATGTGTCTTGGAGACTTTGTGCCAAGAATTTTAAGAATTTTTAAATTTCTTTTTTCTTTGTTTTTGTCTGACTGGGTAAGTTTGAAAGACCAATCTTCAAACTCTGAAATTCTTTCTTCTGTTTGGTCTAGTCTATTGGGAAAGCATTCAATTGTATTTTGAAATTCCTTAAGTGAGTTTTATAGTTTTCATTGCTCTGAATGATTTCTTTTTAAGATGTTTGCATCTTCTTTTATTTCCTGGATTGCTTTACAGGTTTCTTTGTACTGATTTTTAACCTTATTTTGGATCTCATTGAGTTTCCCTGTAATCCATACTTTGAATTCCTCCTCTGTCATCCTCCTGCCTCCATTTTGGTTAAGAACCATTGCTGGAAACCTAGAGTCAGCCTTTGATGATGTCATTCCATTCAGATTTTTAATGGTGGCAGAATTCTTGTGCTGGTTCCTTCTCATCTGGAGAGTGTTGTACTAGGTAGGGTCTTTGGGGTTGTTTCTATAGTCCTATGCACTTCTGTCAGCAGGTTTTGTGTTGGGCTGTGTGGTTTGACCTATGACTCAGGATATGGCATTTGCAGGTAAGAGTCAGCTGCCACACAAGTAGGTGGGAGGGGAGCTGACCTTTATTTACTGTGAGGTGCTCTCTGTTGTTTCAGGTGAAGGACTGGACAGTGGGGTGGGTGTCCAGTGTTCTGAGCTTCCTAATTTGTGAGGGTGGTGGGATATACCTGGGCAGAGCTGGAAACGTGGCTTTCCCACGAATATCTCAATGACAGGTGCAGGCACCAGCCCTGATGGGTGTGGCTAGGAGAAGCTCCTGATAAAATGTGCTGAGGTCTTCGTGAGCCCCCTCACTTCCTTGGTGAATCTTGACATGCTCTCTTAGAGAATTCACCTGAAGAGCTACTATTTACTTGCCACTTTCTTTCCTCTCTTTGAGAGTAGCATACTCTAGCTGCTTCCAGTCAGCCATCTTGAACCTCCATAACCATTTTGAAGATGCAAATTGTGGTAGCAGCTGCAGTCAAGAGATATTAAAAATAAGTTATGGCCGGGTGCGGTGGCTCACGCCTGTAATCCCAGCATGTTGGGAGGCTGAGGCAGACAGATCACAAGGTCAGGAGATAGAGACCATCCTGGCCAACATGGTGAAACACATCTCTACTAAAAATTCAAAAATTAGCTGGGTGTGGTGGTGCGCGGTCCTGTAGTCCCAGCTACTCAGGAGGCTGAGGCAGGAGAATCACTTGAACCCGGGAGGCAGAGGCTGCAGTGAGCTGAGATTGCACCACTGCACTCTAGGCTGGTGACAGAGTGAGACTCCATCTCAACAAAAAAAAGGGATTCATTTATTCATTATCTTTTCTTTAGAATTAAGTTTAAGTTTTAAATACAGTATAAGAAATAGCTTTGGAAATAACTAAGGGTTCTACCCTAATTAAAATACATATAATTTAACTGGGTATGATGGCACATGCCAGCAGTCCTAGCTCCTCAGTATGCTGAGGTGGGAGGATGAGCCCAGGAGCCTGAGGCTGTAGTGAACCATGATCACACCTGTGAATCACCACGGCACTCCAGCCTGGGCAACATAGCAAGACTGTCTTTAAACAAACAAAACAAAATACACATCAGTATATGAGTGTTGACGAGTCACTTGGTAATGAGTCTCATATTTCTGCATTTTTCTTTTTCATCTGTGAGTTCTAGAAAGAAGTAGGAAAAACCACTATATCAAACAGCCTCTTTGGACTTTATTCTAAACCACGTAAAATCTCACCAGATTTCTTTGTGTGTCTCAGTAATTGATCTTAGAAATTATATCTGGAGGTGCAGGTTGAGGTATCCAAAGAGGAAAGAGTGGCAATATTTTGGGAGTTTCCAGTCAACAATAAAGGACCAAGAGTGTCCAGCACAGGAGTGGCCTCAGTGATTGAAGTAAGTGAATTCAGCTATAATTGAAGCTGGTAAGAGGGCCTTTTAAAAATTAAAAGTTGATACAGTACAAGAAAGTAAGTTACTGCTGCTTACCATTCAGAGACTTACGGGTGCTTGCCTGCATTATAATAAAAGAACTTAATTATTGAGCAAGACCTATATTTATCTCTTCACTTTGGACAGCCTAATAAACTATTATTACAGTTTCTCTATTGACTTTCAAACGTTTTGAAGTTTGAAAGACACCTTTGCAATTAACACAGCATGAGCACAACCAGAACAGAGAACGCTGTTATAATGGGTCTGTCCAGTCAAAATGGTCAGCTGAGGGGTCCCCTGAAACCCAGTGGTGGCCCTAGAGGAGAGGCCACACAGACACAGCAACAGACGAACCAGCTGAAAAACACCAACACAATAATAGCACTCAACCACAAGCGCAGAGTATGACCACCACTATTAAGCCTGGTGATAATTGGAAGAAGACTTTAAAACTCCTTCCAAAGGATCTAAGAATCAAAATGTTGGATGTGACCTCTACAAGAGGATATTAATTTGAAGATTACTGTTTGAAACGGCAGTTACTGATGAGAATTTTTGAAATGGGATGGAAAAAGCCATCTCCTTTCCAAGAAGAGAGCATTCCCATTGCTTTATCTGGTAGGGATATCTTAGCTAGAGCAAAAAATGGAACAGGCAAGAGCAGTGCCCATGACATTCCCCTACTTAAAAGGCTAGACCTGAAGAAGGACACTATACAAACAATAGTGATTGTTCCCACAGGAGGACCTGCTCTACAGGTCAGTCAAATTTGCATCCAGGTCAGCAAACACATGGGAGGAGTCAAAGTGGTGATGACCACAGGAGGAACCAATTCAGGAGATGACGTACTGAGGCTGGATGATACAGTGCACATGGTGATTGCTGCCCCTGGGAGAATCCTGAATCTTATTAAGAAAGGAGTAGCAAAGGTCAGTCATGTCCAGGTGATAGTATTGGATGAGGCAGATAAGTTTCTGTCCCAGGATTTTGGGCAGTTAATGGAAGATATTATTCTCATGCTACCTGAAGACAGGCAGATTTTACTACATTCTGCTACTTTCCCTCTTAGTATACAGAAGTTCATGAATTCCCATTTGCAGAAACCCTGAGACTAACCTGATGGAAAAACTAACTCTGAAGGACATAACCCAGTACTACGCATATGTAACTGAGCACCAAAAAGTACACGGCCTCACCACACTTTTCTCCAGGCTTCAGCTAAACCAGATGATCATTTTCTTTAACTGCTCTCAGCGAGTTGAATGGCCAGCCAAAATTTCTCAACTGGGTTATTTTTGTTTCTACATTCATGCTAAAATGAGGCAGGAACATCAAAATTGTGTATTTTATTATTTCTGAAATGGCTTATTCTCATTTGCACTGATCTGTTTACTTGAGGTATTGATATACAAGCTGTGAATGTGGTAATAAACTTTGACTTTTCAAAGCTAGAAGAGACCTATCTCCGTCATATTGGAAGACCAGGTCACTTTGGCCATTTTGGCTTAGCCATCAACTTGATCACATATGGCGATCACTTCAACCTGAAAGGTATTGAGGAGCAGCTGGGAAAAGAAATAAAACCTATTCCAAGCAACATTGACAAGAGCCTGCATGTGGCAGAATTCCACAGCAAGGCTGTAGAAAATGAGAAGCCTTAATAAGCACTCTTTGACAAACTGTGGAAGCCTTGTTTGGATCTATGACATACCATTTTTTAGAGAGGAGTGCTCTTCTCTTTGTGAGTTTTTCATCTTTTATTTCAGAACTATGAAGACTTAAAAGAGTTCAGAATTTTTTTTTTCCTTTTTTAACTGGTGAAGAGAAAAAAGCTGAAAAGAAGGAATATTCCTTTTTTTTTGTTCCATCTGTTTGCACTGTATGCTAAGTGAACATTAGTTGCACTAACTGCTGGTTTTAAAAAAATGTTTTCTGGGGAAAGGGGACAGGAAAGGAAAAGAAAGAAGGGGAGAAACCCTAAAAAGAGAAGAATCTTAATGAACACAAAAGCTTGTCTATTATTTCAAAATTCTCCAACATCTGACTCTCGAGGACATTTCAACTTCTCCCTAGTCATCCATTTTTTTTTTAAGCCTGAGGAGCTTATTACTCATTTGTGTGAAGTGCTGTATGCTCTGAGTTATTCAGAATATCATCTTTTAGACACAGACCAAAGAATCAACAGTAGTACTCTTTCTTTCCTTTATTCTTTAAAAAATTTTTGTCTTTTAATTTTGGTTTTAGGGTGAAGTCTCTGTTTTCTTTCTACCCAATACTGAAGCCCAGAGCTGGTAGATGAAACTTATTAGTCAGTTAAATACCATTTTCTTTTTCTTTATATTGGAGGAGTTGATATGCAGCTGCAGTTCATCCACACTGTAAACACATGTATTAAAAAAATCCCAACAGGGCATGGTGGCTCACGCCTGTAATCCCAGCACTTTGGGAGGCCGAGGCAGATAGATTATCTGAGGTCAGGATCTTGAGACCAGCCTGACCAACACAGTGAAACCCTGTCTTTACTAAGAATACAAAAAAATTAGCCAGGCGTGGTGGCAGGTGCCTGTAATCCCAGCTACTTGGGAGGCTGGGGCAAGAGAATTGCTTGAACCTGGGAGGCGGAAATTGCGGTGAACTGAGATCGTGCCATTGCACTCCAGCCTGGGCAACAGAGCAAGACTCCGTCTCAAAATAATAATAATTCCAAGTAAAAATTTATTCTGGTCTGAGTAGATAAAACATCAATGCTCCCAAAGGAAAAGCAGTCTATCATTGGAGGAGCCTTATGACAAGCCTTTGTGCTCTATAGCAAACACTAAAGACTGGTTTACATACGTCTCCAGTAACAATATGGCACTTGACTTGTAGACATGTCAGAACCTTGACCCTATTTCTTTTGTGGCAGAGTGTGTTGCGTTGAAAATTGAGTGTGTATACTTTTATCAACCTTGTAAATAAGTGTATATGTATATATACATATATATGATAAAGGTTGATGGGATTAAGGGGATTAGAGTGATTATGGGAGCAGCTAAAGATGAAGGGGCTCAGTTTACTCAGCACTAAATTCTAGAAAGCACTTTGGCCTCTTGCTGTAGAGAGCAGGTTTCTATGGTACCCTTGGTTAGGAAAGGGACACAGAAATCTGGGATGTCCTGTTTGCTCCCACGCTGTCTCATCTAGTACCCCTGGAGGAGGCTTACCAGAGAGAGCAACGAAGCGTCAAAAATTGATAATTCAAGATTTTTTTTTTTTGAGAAGCTCTTTTATTTTGCTTCTTCACCCTTTCTAAAAGTTTAAGGAATTTTTCAAGCTCTCCAAAAGAGGGCAAAGATTAATCTACCATGCATCTACCTTGCAGTGTGGGGATTCTGTTGAGTGGTAGTATTGTTGAGCAGTACATGCATAAAGCACAGATTCGCATTTCATAGTATTAGCCAGTACCAGCTTTGGTGATGTTAGGAGTTCTGGAGCTTAATTTTCTATGGATCATCTGTAGTGTGTAAATGTATTGCCTTCTGCCCACCTTGATACATAAACTTTTGCAGGAATGGACAACCCCTGAGAACTGTTTAACTTTCATACCACACAAAGCTGCTTGCCATTCTCTTGTGTTATGACAATAATTGTTATCTGTCATTTTGTACTGTAAATTCCTGGCAAATGCTTTACAGTCAATAATGTTGCTTTAAATTGTTGCCCTCCCAACATGCTTGATGTTTGGCCTAATCTCCAGGCCAAAAGACTGAGATGAATCAAAACCAGTGAACTTTTTTTTAATGTTTTTGAATTCCCTTTTAACCCAGTGTACTAGGTCAATCAGAAGGCATCTGGGAGGAGAAAAAAAAGCAAAAAATAATTTTTAAAAAATTGATTCCCATATTGCATTGATTTTTAAAAACCTAAAATATACACGTTTGTATTTAACTCATATGGACAAAGGGATTAATTATTTGAAGTTGCTTTTTTGACTCTGCCCACTTCTATTTTTTTTCCCAAGACAGAGTCTCACTGTGTCACCCAGGCTGGAATGCAATGGCATGATCTTGGCTCAGTGCAACCTCCGCCTCCCGGGTTCAAGAGATTCTCCCTGTCTCAGTCTCCCAAGTAGCTGGGATTACAGGTGCCCACCTGTAATACACCAGGTGTATGTGACTCACCCACAATTCCTTGGAGATCAAAATCCTACAGATGCCTCCTGATCAGACACAGCCCTAACTCTTCAACAACTGTGGCAAGAGCTGCACAGTACAAACCCAAAAAAGAGCAATCTCATTTATTTGGAATCCAAGTCACGTATGTTCTGTCCAGTCAATGTTGGTTACTAAATACAAACCTTAATTCAGGAAGTAACCTTTTTTTTTTTTTGCATGAAGCGCTGGGAGAGGGAATTTAAACGGTATCAACTTTTGACCAAAAAGTCTTGTTCTTGTACTGACGCAGCATTCTTTCTCCTACACCTCCTGCAAGAGGGATCATTAATATAGAAGAAATGCAAGGAAAGAGTGTAAATGTAATTCTGTATCTCGCTAAAAAACATGTGAGTGACCAATCAAAAGTTCAGTCTTCTTTTCCAGTCTTACACTGCTCTGCCTGGTGCTGAGTTCCTGTGGGTCCCTCTTAAAGTACAGACTTAAAATTGGAAGTATTGCTGAAGTATAACATCTAATGACGAGTGGCACTTAAACTATCTGGGACACCACTATTGGACACAGTGTTACAGAGGCAGCTGTCCAGCTTGTTGCTTGGTTCTTGAATATAAATCATGAAATGGAAATATGCTCTAAGGACTTGGTCAAAGCCTGGTCTTTTTTTTTGTCCCTCATATTAAGGAGGATTGTTACTACTGGAAAGTGTTTTCAGATTATTTCCAATATTGGAATGTATTTTTTAAAGTAATGGTAATATTTTTTCCAGTGGTTCATTTGGATGATAACTAGTTCCTATTTTTAATATTAAAACTATATTCAACTCATGGTTTAGCCTTTGGTTGCATCGTTGTGTAATGGGTTATGGACTGTCACACACCTTCCCACCTCTGGGCCTGTGTGTTTTCTCTCCCCGTATGTTCTGACGGGATGGAAACTTTTTTGTCTTTCCCTTAGGAAAGGAATAAAGTTATTCTAAAATGATCTTTTACTGAAGTAAGGGAGAGGGAAACCTAAATATACCTCTAAATTATTTCAAGTTGGTCCCAGTATCATAAGATGGGTTGGCCTGAAATGGTAAGAGGGTGGGGTTGGTTATCAGTATTTGTTTTCAGAATGAGGCGGGAGTGTCTTTCGTTTGCCACGTGCTTTGTGCTTGACACCTTCATGCTTGATTAGAACAAGACAACTCAGCATAAAGCCTTGAGTGTAAATTGTTAAGAGTCAAAATATCTCATTCTGATAACTTAGTTTAACTGTTTTCTTTTTAATAGGGATGGGAGAAACCGTACTTTGCCCCCAAAGGGAGAGTGTCTGCACTAAAAATGTAGAAACTCTTTGGAAGCTCATAACCTTATCAGACACTGCCTTTACCACACTCCTGACCTTCTAGATTAGTAACAAAAGAGATGAAATAAGTTCTTGGGAATTAAGCTATATTATCTTAATTTGAGAATTTTTTTCAATGTTCTAGGTATCTTTAAATGTGTTATTGTGGAATTATTTTCTTGCCAAATACCTTCGTCAAGCAAAAATTACTGGTCTCATGAGAGCTGAAGTAACTCAGCTCTTTGGCGAACTTCAGTGGACTTTGGTGAGCTCATAGCTCTACTTTACGTCTTTAAAAACAGTTTTTTTTAAAACTCTCAAATCTACTCTCAGATACTTTTAAACATATTGTTTCCTTAGAAGATTCAGGACTTTTTTTATTTTACGTCTTTCATACTGGAAGTCTGGACTATATGATAAAAATATTTCAATTTCGTACTCTTCTAACACCTGGAATTTGGAGCCCTTAAAATTTTCATATAGAAGGGAAATAGTTTAGTAAGTTATGGGGTTTTGTCATCCTTAGCATTGGTTCTCAAATTTTAGCAGACATTTGAGTTGCCTGAAGATCTTGTTAAAACATAAGGACCTAAGTCTAAGCCTCAAACTCATGAATTCTGATTCAGTAGGTCTGGAATGGCACTCATGAATTTGAATGCCTAACAAGCACCCAGGTACTGCTGCTGCTAGTCCAAGAGCCAAACTTGGAGAATCAATGCACTCTAAATCACATATTTCCAAAAAAGAAACAGGAACATTTAACCCTTTAAAAATTAATGGATCTCTAATGCCAGACCTCCTGGAAAACTAGAAGTCAGTACTTAACATTTTTTTATGCTACAAATTTGAGCCTTTGTGTCAAAATTAGATTTAGAACAGCTATTTTGGTCATAAATTATGATCTCTAACAATCAGAAATATCTACTGAAATATTCAAAAACAAATCTAGCAACAATATCTGCAAATCTCATATGATAGCTAAATCCATTAATATGTATATTAAAATTTTTGCAACAACTTTGTAAGTACTTAGAAATAAAGGTAAGTCCATAATGTTGTTTTATATTTTGGAGTTGTCTCACCATCTTGTATACACATTTTAGTATTTTTAATAATAATATAATTGTTACAAAAATTCCTCTGAAGCTATGTGGATATACATTATTTTTTTAAAGGCTACATAGCATTCTGCTCAGATAACAATTCACAATTTGCAGAAAAATTTTCTTTATTTATTTAACAAATATTTATTGATTGCCTATTGTATACCAGTCACTTTTCCAGTTTTTCATTATTATAAGCAGCATTAGTCAATGTTTTCTGTAATCATTATCACATTCAACAAACCAGGTTAAATAGCTCTATTAATATTTTTTCTTAATTATGAATAACATAACAACTAAGTGATAGCATAAGCGTATTTATAAATATTGCATTTTCTGCAGTTGGTTTTTTCCTTAAAATTAAAGAATATAAGATTATTCAGTTTAAGTTTATTTCTAAAACTGTATGCATTTAAATATTGATAAATTCCTCTCTAAAATTATTGTAAAATATTATATTGCTTCCAGTATTGTTCTCCCTCAGTCTAGCCAACATGAGGAATTTATCATTTGTTATTTTTTATACTTAATAATAGAAGGCATACTGTATCATATATAAGTACATAACAACTACAGTCAGATTGCTTGGGTTTAATTCTAGTGCTACCATTTATCCTTTGTGAGGTGACTTTAGTCGCTTAATCTTTCTGCATCTGTAAAATGAGCATATTGAATAAATAATTCTGTAAAGTGCTTAGCAGAGTGACTCAAAAATGGACACTTAATGGTGCTACATATTATGTCCATTAATGTTTTGTTTAAAATTTTATTACAAAGAAATCATAGACAAGACAAACAAATGGGAACACATCCTATGCTCATGGATGGGTAGAATCAATATTTTGAAAATGACCATACTGCCAAAAGCAATCTACAGATTCAATGCAATTCCCATCAAAATACCCCCACCATTCTTCACAGAATTAGAAAAACAATTTTAAAATTGATATGGAACCTAAAAAGAGCCTGCATATTCAAAGCAAGACTCAGCAAACAGAACAAATCTGGAGGCATCACATTATCCAACTTCAAACTATACTGTAAGGCCATAGTCACCAAAACAGCACAGTACTGGTCTAAAAATAGGCACATAGACTAATGGAACAGAATAAATAACCCAAAAATAAAACCAAATACTTAACAGCCAACTGATCTTTGACAAAGCAAAGAAAAACAGGAAGTGGGGAAAGGACACCCTGTTCAACAAATGGTGCTGGGATAATTGGCAAGCCACATATAGGAGAATGAAACTGGATCATCATCTCTCACCTTATACAAAAATCAACTGAAAATGAGTCAAATACTTAAATCTAAGACCTGAAACCATAAAAACTCATGACATCAGAAAAACCCTTCTAGATATTGGCTTAGGCAACGATTTCATGACCAAGAACCCAAAAGCAAATGCAACAAAAACAAGGATAAATAGATAGGACTAAAAAGCTTCTGCACAGCAAATGAAATAATCAGCAGAGTTAACACACAACTTACAGAGTGGGAGAAAATATTCACAATCTATACATCTGACAAAGGACTAATATCCAGAATCTACGAAGAACCCAAACAAATCAGCAAGAAGAAAACAAAGAATCCTATCAAAAATTGGGCTAAGGACAGGAATAGACAACTCTCAAAAGAAGATATACAAATGGCCGACAAGCATATGGAAAAATGCTCAACATCACTAATGATCAGGGAAATGTAAATCAAAACCACAGTGTGATACCACGTTACTCTTGCAAGAATGGCCATAATCAAAAATTCAAAAAATAATAGATGTTGGCGTGGATGTGGTGAAAAGGGAACACTTTTACACTGTTGGTGGGAATGTAAACTAGTATAACCATTATGGAAAACAATGTGGAGATTCCTTAAAGAACTAAAGGTAGAACTACCAGTTGATCCAGCAATCCCACTACTAGGTATCTATCCAGAGGAAAAGAAGTCATTATATGAAAAAGATTCCTTGCACACACATGTTTATAGCAGCACAATTTGCAACTGCAAAAATATGTAACCAGTCCAAATGCCCATCAATCAATGAGTGGATAAAGAACATATGGGAGATGTATACGTATACACCATGGAGTACTATTCAGCCATTAAAAGGAACAAAATAATGGCATTCACAGCAACTGAGATGGAATTGGAGACCATTATTCTAAGTGCAGTAACTCAGGAATGGAAAACCAAACATCACATGTTCTCATTCATAAGTGGGAGCTAAGCTATGAGGATGCAAAGGCCTAAGAATGACAGAATGGATTTTGAGGACTCAGGGGAAAGGGTGGGAGCAGGGTGAGGGATAAAATACTACATATTGGGTACAGTGTACACTGCTTGGGTGATGAGTTTACCAAAATCTCAAAAATCACCACTAAAGACCTTATTCATGTAACCAAACACCATCTGTTCCCCAAAAACCTATTGAAATAAAAAATAAATTAAAAAAATTGTTTAATAGAAGGGGATTTAATATCTTTAAGTAGCACATCAACTAATAAATGTGAAAGAGATGGTAGACTTAGAAAATCACCATTTTGCTACAATTATAATAAAAATTATAAGCAAAAATTTAAGCAAAAATTATCAGTGAATACTTAAATGAGTAGGTCAAAGTTTGGGGAATAAAGAATATTTATGTATTGTCAAAGTACCTCTCCACAAATTACTTATAAATTACTAAGGGGAAAATAGTAAATTTATAATGGAGAAACCTGGCAGAACCATCTTAGCCAACTGATTATAGCTAATATCACCAGTAATGGGACAGATCAACATGTGCCTTCTGATGTAATGTGCTGAGAAGACAATCTCATGTCTATTTTCCTATATGACATTTATGACCTAGATCTAATCAGAGGAAATATCAGACAGACCCAAACTGAGTGACATTCTACAAAATAACAGGAACTCCAAGCTGCCAACGTTATAAGAGAAAAGACTGAGGAGCTAATCCAGATTAAAAGACCCTCAAAGGACATGACCACTAAGTGAAATTTTTATTCCTGAGTTGAATTTTAGACTGGGAAATAAAATCAATATAGGATATCATTTGGATAATGGATTAAATTTGAATATTGACTCTGGATGACATAATATTATTGTATGAATGGTATTTTTTTATTATTGGTCATTTTACTAGTTATGCAAGAGAATATCTGTTCTTAGGAAATACACATTGTTCAAAAGGTTAAAAAAATGTTTATTAAAAGAGTAAATGATAAAGCAACTAGGGCAAAAATGTTAATAATTTGTGAATCTGGGTAAAGGATATATGAGTATTATTTGTTCTATTCTGATAATCTCTATGTAACCTTGAAATTATGTCAAAATAAAATGTTTAAAAATAAATAAATAAATAGATAGATAAAATTTTATTACACAAAATTGTCCAGGAAATAGGGAAGAAGAAACACTTCCAATTTGTCTTATGAGGCCAGTATCAACTTGATAACAAAATTAAACGAAGACATTATACACACACACACACAGACATACACACAGACGAAAAATAACTTTAACCATTCCAATAGATACAGCAAAACATTTGAAAAAATTTAACATTTACTAAAGATAAAATCGCTGAATTACTGAGCATACTCAGATGAAAAGGGAATGTTTGATCTGAAGAAAAGACTCTACATAAAAGCTACAGTATATATCATACTTGATGAAATACTTTAAATTTCCACTATAGGTTAAGAAATAAGATAAGAATGACTACTGTCAATATTTCTTCTCAGTAGCCCAATAGAGCCAGGAAAATGACAAAGAAGGTATAAAATTTGAAAATAGATGATGTGGTTGGGTACATAAAGATCTGGAAAGGAAATATACCTAAACTATTAGAATTAAATAGTAAACTAAATAAAATACAAAGGCCATAAAATTTTAGTAGCATCAAAAGCCTCCCAATATTTAGGAACAAATTTAATTAAATATTGGCAAAATCTCTACATTGAAAACTACAAACGATTACTAAAAAAATTTTAAATAGACAAATAAATCAAGGAATATTACATTTTTATAAAGTGGAAGTTTCAATATTGCTAAGAAGTCAATTCTTCCCAAATTTATGTTTAAATTCATTGTGATTCTCAGTAAAATGCAAGCAGGTTTTTGGCTTTATGGAAATTCACAAAATGATTCTATTAATATCTAAATGCATGCAACCAAAAGCCACAATGACATGAAGAAAAACCAAGTTGGAGAAGTCACACCACTGGATATCAAAACTTACAAAGCTATGATAACTAACTAGAACTATGGCATAGAATCAAGTATCAAGAATCACATCACATATAAACATCACCAAATTTATGACAAATATGCTAAACTGATTTTAATGATAATTTTAGCCATAAATACTTACATTAAAAAAGAAAAAAATAAATGTTAACTAGCTAAGTCTCTAATGTGAAAAATTACAAATACAAATGGAAAAATTTCAAAATAAGTGGAAGAAATGATACAGTGTTACGATAAGAGCAAGAGTTATTGAAATTAAGAACAATAGAGGGAAAGATATTAAATGTCAAATTTCTGGCAAAATCTTTTAAGAATAATAGCTGATAATGCACAAATTAATAATATTAGGGATTGAAAGGAAATGTAACTTCAGGTAACCACAAAAATAAGATAAGATAAAAGAATAAATTATGAAACGTTATGCCAATAGGTTTGAAAAAATAGTGAATATAATTTAGTAATGATGAAGAACAATTTAAAAAATATACTGGCTTCCTTGCTATTAATTATACATTCTAAGAATGCTCCTATCTCTGGACTTTGCATTGGTTTCTCTGCTTGGAATGTTTTTCCTCAGATACTCAATTAGCTAACTGTATTTAAGCTTTATTTTTACATGTGGTGCTATTAGTGAAAACTTTACAATATGAAATAGTTTGTTTCCTGCACTATGTCACTTGCCTTGCTTTCTTTAGCTCTGTAATGTGTGTTGCCATCTAACCCGGTTCATGCTTACATGTTTATTTGTTAGTGGTTTCTCTACCACTATAGATTGCACTTCATGAATATGAAAACTTTGTCTAATTCATCACTACTGGATTTTCAGTTGGAGTTCCAATAAATTCACATGAATAAATGATGAATAAAAGAATTAAAACTGTATGATGGTCTTAATAGACATAGGAAAAAGAAACATTGCATACAAGTCAGCATATATTTATGATGAAAAGTTTAGCAGACCTGAAATAAGAAGGGACTTTGTCAATTTAATAAAGGCTCCTGGGGTAGATCAGTACTTTAGTGGGCTCAAGGAACCATGCCCCCAGTACTCACGTTTGTTTCACAATGACTTACTCCACAGTTGGCCATGTGATAAGTTTGACCAATGTGACAGATCTAAGCAGAGGCTTGATAAATGGTTGTACCTGTGGCTTATATTCTTCAAACACCGGTTCTTCAGATTATCCTTGGAACCTAGCCATCATTTTGTGAGGAGCCCAACCTAGCCATGTAGAAAGGTCATATGGAGAACCATATGGAGGACCAGCCAACAGCTCTAGCTAGACTTCTAGGTAAAACCTAATACTAACTTTATTGGAACAGTGGCAAGCTGTCTTTACCAAGCTCTGCTAAAGTAAATAAGTTAAATAGTTATTGTTTGAAGTCACTGTTTTGGGATGTCTCCTTATACAAAAATAGATAAATGAAACAGTTGTCCATCTAAAACCTAGGTCAAAACATGTACTCAGTGAGAACAAGACATGACTGCCACTTGTTATCACTTTAATTCCACACTGTTTTGATTGTTTTAGCTGGTGCATTAAGATAAAGAAAATTCATAGGAACTAGAATGGAAGTTTAAAAACTTTCCTTAATTATAGGAGCTATATTTCCCTACTTAAAAAAATCCCTGGCCGGGCGCGGTGGCTCATGCCTGTAATCCCAGCACTTTGGGAGGCCGAGGCGGGTGGATTACGAGGTCAGGAGATCGAGACCATCCTGGCTAACACAGTGAAACCTCGTCTCTACTAAAAATACAAAAAAATTAGCCGGGCGTGGTGGCAGGCGCCTGTGGTCCCAGCTACTCCGGAGGCTGAGGCAGGAGAATGGCGTGAACCCGGGACGTGGAGCTTGCAGTGAGCTGAGATCGCGCCACTGCACTCCAGCCTGGGCCACAGAGCGAGACTCCGTCTCAAGAAAAAAAAAAAAATCCCTAAGAATCTGCAGATAAAACATTAGAAAAATGAGATAATTTAGCAAATCCCTTGGCCCAGGTATCAAATTGGTATATTTCTATATACCAGCAACAAAGAGTAAAATGTAGTTTGGAAAACATAATTTTGATAACTACCAAAGTAATAATGTCCAGATGTAAATCTAATAGAACATAGAAAAGCTTTACACAGAATATTATAAAACTTTACTGAAATACATTAGAGAAGATCTAAATAAACATGGATATTTACCTTGATAATGGTTGAGGAGTTATCTTTAGTAACTTTATTTTTTTGCTAACATATAGAGTCAATGAAATTTTAATTAAAAGATACTTTTAATTTATAAAAAAATTTATTGCACCAATTCTCACATTTATGCAAAGAGGGAAGAGTGCAAGATAACAAAAAAAAGTAAAAAAAACAGGAATAAAATTCAGAGATTTGTTCTAATAGCAAGATTTACAATGTATAGGAAATAAGACAGTACAGTGTTAGCACAGGAACAGACAGGTAGATGAGTGGACAAAAAGAGAGGACACCAAAGAGATCTGTGTGTGTATGTATATATATATATATACATACACACACACACACACATTGCAAGTCAGTAAATGGCACTGGGGCAATTGGTTTTCCACATTAAGAAAAGAAAGATAGATTGAAATATTTCTCACTATGAGTGTATCTAAAAATGAGTTTCAGGTGGATTAAAGATTGAAATATTAAAGTCAAAACTTTAAAACTTTTTAAAGTACCTATAAAGTGATTATCTTTATGTCCTTGGGAGTGGAAAACATTCCTTAACAAAAGAACTAAAAAAGACTTTAGCATAGAGAGAAAGACTTATTTTAATAATTCTGCAATCTAAAATTAGAGCATCTTCACATCAAAGGAAACCACAGAATGAATGAAAAATCAGGCTACAGAAGGGAAAGGGATATCTGCCACTTCTATTAAGTGGCACAGTTTAGTATTCTAAAGAGACACATAATTCCCTTAAAAATAAGAAAAAGAAAATGGCCAAAATGAAAATGAGCAAAAGTCTGCAAACAAATCCAAATGCCTAGTAAACACACAAACAAAAATGTCTAATAAGATAGAAAAAGCAAATTAAAAGTAGAGTGTGCTGTATCTGTCAGTATCCTTAGAGTAGTAACTCGTTGGATAAGTATGTAAAGCTCTGAGAGCTCATATACAAGGTTGGTAAGGGTGTAAATTGCTAAACCTACTTTGAAGAATGATTTCACATTATATCAGGAAGCTTTAGATGTCAAAGGCAAAAACATAATTTTTCAGAAATGTATAGTGGATACCTTTTAGAAACAGGGAAGTAGGAAAAGGAGCCTAGAGCTGCGCATAAAGGGAAATAAAATACGCTCATAAAGAATTATGCCTTTAAAAGTTATTGGACTCAAATCTTATGAACTATTAATGGTTATTGCTTTAACCATTATTATGAAGTATGAATTTCAGTTGCATTGTTTTTTGTAATCTTCCTTCTGAGGGTAAAAATCAAACAGAAAGAGTTATAAACGTAGGGATTCTGTTTATAATGCTATGACTTTTGGTCTCAAGTTGTGTCATGTGTCTTTAGGGAAAGGCTGGCATTCCTTCCCTTTCCTTTCTTATTCTTTCATTTTCTTTTCTTTCATTTATTTATTTCTTTCCTTTTCTTTCCATCCCATTCCTTTCCTTTTATTTTCCTATCTCTCTCTGTAAACATGTAAGAATGCATGCATATTCACTGCACTACTCTGGTAGTGTCTTACTGATATATCCCTGTCCATTTATAAATCAAAATAGAAAGCTGCTATAATTTAACAACATGGACAGCATTGAAAGGTATGGATAATAGGACAATTTTAACTCATGTGTTGATGTGATAATATATCTCATAGAACGTCAACTCAAGAAAGATATAAGACATGGCATAATGTGTTATGTGCATATTTGTGTCCCTGTTAGTATTGAAAAGTTATCATATTAAAAATGAACAAAGGGAAAAAGTGCATGAGGTGCCGGGAGTCTAGGAGAAACCAGGAATAAGCTTCCAGGTGTTTTCTTCCAGTGAGTTACATTGATGTGCTTAATTGTGCCATCAATGGTACGATAACACATGCAGAATAATGCCAACCAGGAAGTTCACTCAAGTTTGATGTAGAAGGTTTTTATGGGGGATCAGTCAGGTAGGCATACGGCACCTGTGTAACTGACCTCAGCTACTCAGACCCCAGCCCACCAGAGCAAAAATAGGCACCATAAATCACCTTGTTAGCATAATCTATCTGATCAAATTTATATTGTGACCCAATAAAACAAATTATTTTAAAAAAAACATTTTATTAGGCAGGATATTCAAAGAACTTAGAGCTCCTCTTCCAGGAGCCTGCCAAGGGCCAGTCCTGAATATAGGCCTTTCTTGGGAATATACAGGGTTCTGCAACACAGACATGAAAAGTTAACCCTTTTCTGCATAATGGTTGACTGATATATTTTGATATATCAGATGCGTTAGGTCTTTTGCAACTGAAAAAAAGAGAAGCAAAACTATATTCATAAAATAATATCGAATTTTTCCTTAAAATACCATAGTGGTAAAGAATGAAAACTTGGGGGCCAAACTGCCTTGAGTTTGAGTCCCAGGTTAGCTAGTAGTTTGCTAGTGACTGTAGATAAGTTGATTAGTGACCTGTGCCTTAATTTCCTTATCTTTAAAGTAGGAATATCAATATTATTTGCCTCACAAGATTTATTGTAAATGTTGAACACAATAATACCTTTGAAGCCTAGAATAATCCTTGGCATAAGTAGTACTTATTACATGTCATTATTATTATTATAGTTTTATTATACGCTAGCACAGGCATAAGAAAGCAGATCGAGAGATATGAGCAAAAAGTGTTCCAAAAAGTTAAAAGCGAAAAAACAAAAATAAAAAAACACCTCAAGCTATTTAGGCTATTTTATAAAGAGAGAAGTGTTATGATTTTGTTAAGATAGTAACATTAGGGAAACAAGGTGAGGGATAAAAAGAGAAGCCTCTGTATTGTTTTTACAAATTTTTTACAGGTTTAAAATTTCTCCAAAGTTTAAAAGTGAGGTAACATTGTATTCTATTTGAGTAGTAAGTATTAGAAAGCAGGGTAGTGCCAAGAATTGGGACAGGTGAGGAAATGACAGGAACACGTCTGCCCCGCTGGTAGGAGTGTAGCCTCATGGAAGCATTCTGGAGCACATTCTGGGTATAAAAATTCAAATTAAGTCTCTCATATATTGGACCTGAGCAATTTTGCTTCCAGGTATATATCCTAAATAAATCCTTACACAGGTCCATAACAACAGTTGTTTGGCATAATTTATGGTAATGGGGAATTAGAAGCAACCCAGATGTCCATCAACGGGAGAGCAGATTTGCGAAGGTTGAGGATGTACAACATCAAAAAAATGCAGTTTTTAGAAAAAGTGGGCTAGATGTAGACATTGTAACGTGATAGCTCTTAAAAGTAGTGTGCTGAGTGAAAAAAAGTAAGAAACTGAATAAGATTATAATGTAATACTATTTTATAGAATAAAATATCCTAAAACAACAATACTAATAGAAATTAAGAGCCCATAAAATGTTACACATGAAACTTATAATAATTGTTTTCCTTAGGGGGAATGGTAGTAGAAACAGACAGGAAAGAAATGTTTTAAATAAAGTAAGATGAGAGAGATCGTGCACATATTAATGAGGACAGGGTGCCATGAACTGATAAATGTAATGAACTCAACCTTCTGCACTTGAGATCCAACCACATAATAAAAGGAAAAAAGAAATAATATATGCAATTTTGTCTATATATATATATCAAAATTAAAATAGTGATAACCTCTAGGAATCACTATTAAAGAGGAAATTCTTATTTTAATGTTATTTCTACAACATTTGAAACAATTTAAGGAGCATGAAGTGTAATTTTTGTATTCAAAACTTAAAATGTGAATAATTAGTAATAAATTTAATAAAGGAACAAGACTGCCTCACTGAAAGCCATGTAACGTTACTGAAAGAAATTAAAGACCTAAAAAATGGGAAGCTATGTTGTGTTTATGAATTAAATGACTCAATATTAAGACTTCTATTTTCTCAGAAATGATCTATAGATTTGATGCAATCCTAATAAAAATGCCAGCATGCTTCTTTTTAGTACGAATTAACAAGCTAATTCTAAAGTGTATATGGAAATGCAGAAGACTTGGAAAATCAAAGCCTAGAAAATCAAAAGATTAGAGGCATTAAACTACCTGACTTCAAGAATTGTTATAAAGGGCACGGCGTGGTGGCTCATGCCTGTAATCCCAGCACTTTGGGAGGCCGAGGTGGGCGGATCACGAGGTCAGGAGATCGAGACCATCCTGGCTACCACGGTGAAACCCCGTCTCTACTAAAAATACAAAAAAATTAGCCAGGCATGGTGGTGGGCGCCTATAGTCCCAGCTACTTAGGAGGCTGAGGCAGGAGAATGGCGTGAACCCAGGAGGCGGAGCTTGCAGTGAGCCGAGATGGTGCCACTGCACTCCAGCCTGGGCGACAGAGCAAGACTCCGTCTCAAAAAAAAATCGTTATAAAGTTGCTGAAATCAGTATGGTATGGTATTAGTTAAAAATAAACACATAGATCAATGAAAAAGAATAGTAAGCCCATATATTGACAAGGTGCTAAGGCAAATCAATGGGGGAAAATAATGTCTTTTCAATAAATCACACTAAAAACTATATATCTGTATAGAAAAAGAATGATCATTAACACTCACTTTATACTACACTCAAAAATTAACTCAATAAGGATCACAGACTTAATTAATATAGAAGCTAAAACTATTCATTTTCTAAATGGTCACATAGAAAAATACCTTTATAATTTTAGGCCGGGCGCGGTGGCTCATGCCTGTAATCCCAGCATATTAGGAGGCCAAGGCAGGTGGATCATTTGAGGTGAGGAGTTCAAAACCAGCCTGGCCAACATACTGAAATCCCATCTCTATTAAAAATACAAACAAACAAACAAAAAAGACAGAAAGAAAGAAAATGAGCCAGCATAGCAGCACACACTTGTAATCTCAGCTACTTGAGAGTCTGAGGCACGAGAATTGCTTGAACCAGGAGGCGGAGGTTGCAGTGAGCCAAGATTGCACCACTGCACTCCAGCCTGGGTGACAGAGTGAGACCCTGTCTCAAAAGAAAAAAAACTTTGTAATTTTAAAGAAGGTATTTTTGGAAGATAGGACACCAAACATGAATTATAAAACACAAAGTTGATAGATTGAACTACATCAAAATTTTTAAAGTTTTACTCTCCAAAAGAACCTGATGGAAAAAAAAGACAATCACAGGAGATTAGAAAAAACATCTGTAATACGTGTATCTGACAAAAGATTTTTATCCAGTATATATACATATATACACACATATGTAAATGTCTTCATAATAGAAAGATTAACAACTTGTTTTAAAAATGGGCCAAGTGTCTGAGCAAAAACTTCACAAATGAAGACACACAAATAACTAATAAGTCCAGGAAAAGATGTTCAACCTTGTTGAACAGGGCAATACAAAATAAACTCATCGATATATATCACCATGAATGTGTTTAAAAAGCTAAAAGTTTTTCAAAACACCTGACAAGGTAGCCAAGATGGTCTTGATCTCCTGACCTCGTCATCCGTCCACCTCGGCCTCCCAAAGTGCTGGGATTACAGGCGTGAGCTACCACGCCCAGCCCTTTATAACAATTCTTGATTATCTAGGGAATATAATATGGAACAACTACTTTAGAAATCAGTGTGGGTGGCTGGAAAGATGGTGGAATAGAAACAGCTTCGGTCTGCAGCTCCCACTGAGATCAATGCAGAAGCCAGATGATTTCTGCATTTCTAACTGAGATACCCGACTAATCTCACAGGGACTGGTTAGACAGTGGGTGCAGCCCAGGGAGGGCTAGCCGAAGCAGGGTGGGGCATCGCCTCACCCGGGAAGCGCAAGGGGTCAGACAACTCCCTCCCCTAGCCAAGGGAAGCCATGAGGGACTGAGCCATGAGGAACAGTGCACTCCAGCCCAGATACTACGCTTTTCCCATGGATTTCGCAAACCACAGAACAGTAGATTCCCTTGGGTGCCTACGCTACTGGGGTCCTGGGTTTCAAGCACAAAACTGGGCGGCTGTTTGCGCAGAGACTGAGCTAGCTGCAGGAGTACAGCTAAGGCAGTGTTTAAAGGGAAATTTATAGCACTAAATGCCCACAGGAGAAAGCAGGAAAGATCTAAAATCGACACTCTAATATCGCAATTAAAACAACTAGAGAAGCAAGAGAAAACAAATTCAAAAGCTAGCAGAAGACAAGAAATAACTAAGATCAGAGCAGAAATGAAGGAGATAGAGACACACACAAAAAAATTCAAAAAATCAATGAATCCAGGAGCTGGTTTTTTTGAAATAATTAACAAAGTAGACTGCTAGCCAGACTAATAAAGAAGACAAGAGAGAAAAATCAATAGACACTATAAAAATGATAAATGGCATATCACTGCTGATCCCACAGAAATAGAAACTACCATCAGGGAATACTATAAACATCTCTATGCAAATAAACTAGAAAATCTAGAAAAAATGGATAAATGCCTGGACACATAAACCCTTCCAAGACTAAACCAGGAAGAAGTCTAATGCCTGAATAGACCAATAACAAGTTCTGAAATGGAGGTAGTAGTTAATAGCCTACCAACCAAGAAAAGCCCAGAACCAGACAGATTCACAGACGAATTCTACCGCAAGTACAAAAAGGAGCTGGTACCATTCCTTCTGAAAATATTCCAAACAATAGAAAAAGAGGGAATCCTCCATAACTCATTTTATGAGGCCAGCATCAACCTGATACCAAAACCTGGCAGAGACACAACAAAAAAAGAAAATTTCAGGCCAATATCCCTGATGAACATTGATGTGAAAATCCTCAATAAAATACTGGCAAACCGAATCCAGCAGCACATCAAAAAGCTCATCTACCATGATCAAGTCAGCTTCATTCCTGGGATGCAAAGCTGATTCAAATATGCAAATCAATAAATGGAATCTATCACATAAACAGAACCAATGACAAAAACCACATGATTATCTCAATAGATGCAGAAAAGGCCTTCGACAAAATTCAGCAGCCCTTCATGCTAAAAACTCTCAATAAACTAGATATTGATGGAATGTATCTCAAAATAATAAAAGCTATCTATGACAAACTCACAGCCAATATCATACTGAATGGGCAAAACCTGGAAGCATTCCCTGAGAAAACTGTCACAAGACAAGGATGCCCTCTCTCACCACTCTTATTCAACATAATGTTGGAAGTTCTGGCCAGGGCAATCAGGCAAGAGAAAAAAATAAAAGGTATTCAAATAGAAAGAGAGGAATTCAAATTGTCTCTGTTTGCAGATGACATGATTCTATACTTAGAAAACCCCATCGTCTCAGCCCAAAATCTCCTTAAGCTTATAAGCAATTTCAGCAAAGTCTCAGGATACAAAATCAATGTGCAAAAACCACAAGCATTCCTATACACCAATAATAAAAAAAACAGAGAGCCAAATCATGAGTGAACTCCCATTCATAACTGCTACAAAGAGAATAAAATACCCAGGAATACAACTTACAAGGCATGTGAAGGACCTCTTCAAGGAGAACTACAAACCACTGCTCAAGGAGAGAGGGCACAAACAAATGGAAAAACATTCCATCCTCATGGGTAGGAAGAATCAATATCATGAAAAATGGCCATACTGCCCAAAGTAATTTATAGATTCAATGCTATCCCCATCAAGTTACCATTGACTTTCTTCACAGAATAGGAAAAAACTACTTTAAATTTCATATGGAACCAAACAAGAGCCCACATAGCCAAGATAATCCTAAGCAAAAAGAACAAAGCTGGAAGCATCATGCTACCTGACTTCAAAGTATACTACAAAGCTACAGTAACCAAAACAGCATGTTACTGGTGCCAAAACAGATATATAGACCAACAGAACAGAACAGAGGCCTCAGAAATAATGCCACACATCTACAACCATCTGATCTTTGACAAACTTGACAAAAACAAGCAATGGGGAAAGAATCCCCTATTTAATAAATGCTGTTGAGAAAACTGGCTAGCCATATGCAGAAAACTGAAACTGGACTCCTTCCTTATACCTTATACAAAAATTAACTCAAGATGGATTAAAGACTTAAACGTAAGACCTAAAACCATAAAAACCCAAGAAGAAAACCTAGGCAATACCATTCAGGATTTAGGCATGGGCAGAGACTTCATGACTAAAACATCAAAAGCAATGACAACAAAAGCCAAAATTGACAAATGGGATCAAATTAAACTAAAGAGCTTCTGCACAGGAAAAGAAATCATCAGCAGAGTGAATAGGCAACCTACAGAATGGGAGAAAATTTTTGTAATCTATCCATCTGACAAAGGGCTAATATCCAGAATCTACAAAGAATTTAAACAAATTTACAAGAAAAAAACAAACAACCCCATCAAAATGTGGGCGAAGGATGTGAACAGACACTTTTGGGATTCTCCAGGTTCAAGCGATTCTCCTGCCTCAGCCTCCTGAGTAGCCGGGATTACAGGTTCATGGCACCACGCCCAGCTAAGTGTTTGTATTTTTAGTTGAGATGGAGTTTCACCATGTTAGCCAGGATGGTCTCAATCTCCTGACCTCGTGATCTGCCTGCTGCGGCCCCCTAAAATGCTGGGATTACAGGCATGAGCCAATGCCCCGGCCTGACAGACACTTTTTAAAATAAGACATTTATGTGGCCAACAAACATATGAAAAAAAGCTCATCATCACTGGTTATCAGAGAAATGTGAATCAAAACCATAATGAGATACCATCTCATGCCAGTTAGAATGGCTATCATTAAAAAGGCAGGAAACAACAGATGCTAGAGAGGACGTGGAGAAACAGGAACACTTTTACACTGTTGGTGGGACTGTAAACTAGTTCAACCATTGTGGAAACAGTGTGGCGATTCCTCAAGGATCTAGAACCAAAAATACCATTTGACCCAGGAATCCCTTTACAGGGTATATACCCAAAGGATTATAAATCATTCTACTATAAAGACACATGCACACGTATGTTTATTGTGGCACTGTTCACAATAGCAAAGACTTGAAACCAACCCAAATGCCCATCAATAATACACTGGATAAAGAAAAGGTGGCACATATACACCCATGGAATACTATGGAATACTATGCAGCCATAAAAAAGATGATTTCATGTCCTTTGCAGGGACATGGATGAAGCTGGAAACCATCATTCTCAGCAAACTAACACAAGAACATAAAACTAAACATTGCATGTTCTCACTCATAAGTAGGAGCTGAACAATGAGAACACATGGACACAGGTAGGGGAACATCACACACTGGGGCCTGTTTGGGGGTGAGGGGGTAAGGGAGGGATAGCATTAGGAGAAATACCTAACGTAGTTGACAGGTTGATGGGTGCAGCAAACCACCATGGCATGTATATACCTACGTAACAAACCTGCAAGTTCTGCACATGTACCCCAGAGCTTAAAGTATATAAAAAAAAGAAAAAATCTCATGTGGCAGATTAAAGAAAAAAAAACTTACTAAGGTATATGCATATGTAGATATTATAACCATTAATTCAAAAAAGTCCTATAAAAACATTCCCCATTACTGAGCAATTGCTTATTCCCTTTGTCATTAAAACATGCACTTTGATTTACTTCAAAACTGAGGGGACTAGTCCAGTTTTGTACTCTTGTAAATTATGAGTCTTTCTTGAAGAAATCTGCAGCATTACACAAAATTGAATCAGATATTCAGATTCACAAGATTTGTGCCTCCTTATCTCACACATTCATAAGTTGGAACTCTTCATTTGCAGTTTATCTATATTCTGTTTCATGGAACTAGGGAGCATCCCCTGCCTAACTCTGTAAAACCAATTTGTCAAACTCTTGTACAGATCAGAAAAGTAAAGGAATTAATATAAATACCTCCAGTAATAGGGATGCACAAGGGTGATGACAATTTTATTAATAGATTATAGTAGTATATGCTTATATTTATAGATTATACACATCACACACACACATAAACATACACACTCACATTTGGGTAATAATGCATTTGCCATCAGTAAGGAACATAAATGACCTTATTGTTTGAGTCAGACAAATATTAATTTGAATCAGAGCTTAACTACCATTTATTTGAGAAATCTCAGGAAAATTAACTAATCCTTCCTAAATTTATTGTTCCTATTGGCAAAATGGGGACAATATGTTATAGCTAGAAGAGTTGTTTTCTTGAGTCAAAAAAATGTATATATATAAAGCACTTGATACTTACTAGGGGCTGAATAAATTGTTGAAATCACCACTGTAATAATAGTAAAAGAACTTAATATGAATACTTAATATGGATAGAAAACTAGGAGGCCCACTGGAAATACCATATATGCACCATAATATTAACCCAGTTAGCTTCATCTATCTCCAACCTTATTTGTTAATAACAAGTTTTAAATTATACAGGCCAGACTCCAAACTAATTGTCTTTCTCCTTCATTTCAGAAAAATTTTCCAAAGATGACTTAAAATAACACTTGAATTGGAGGGAGGAAGGAAAGCTAATATTATTAGAGCACAACATCTTAAATTTTAAAGAATTATATTTGAGAGGAATATATACAATAGACAGCTTGGAAGAGCATTCTGGGTAGAAATAAGATTCACCTCTCTTCCAATCTGAAACATAATAACAATGCCTTTCATTTGTATGGTTCTTCAGAGTTTAAACATGGCTTTTAAGCACATTTTTCTCTGAGGAAGCTCTTCCTTTGACAGCATCTTCCTCAGTGCTGCCTTCATGGAATCATTCCGTAAGCTATAAATGACTGGATTGAGTGTTGGAGGTATCACAGTATAGAATACGGAGAATACAAGGTCCACAGTCGATGAGGAATCAGAAGGCAGTCTGAGAAACTCAAAGCCTGCAGCTGAAAGAAAGAAGGTGGCTACAAATAGGTGTGGTAGGCAGGTGGAGAAGACCTTGGTCCGGCCCTCAGCTGATGGGATTCTCAGCACTGTAGAGAAGATGCGAATGTAGGAGAGCACAATGGAGATCAAACAGATAAATGCTGCAGACGTTGTGAATGCAGCCAGTGCAATCTCATTAATGAATTCATAAGAACAGGCTAGTTTCAGCATCTGAGGAACATCACAGAAGAATTGGTGAATGACTCTCTTCCCACAGAGAGGTATGGAGAAGTTAATGGCAGCATGCATGAGCCCAGAGAGGCCCCCAGCAATCCACACAGCTATCACTGCATGCCTACAGGCACGGGGATCCATAATAGTCTCATAATGAAGTGGTTGACAGATTGCTGCGTACCTGTCATAAGACATCACTGTGAGAATGGCCACTTCTGATGAGGCCAGAGCTATGAAGAAGAAAACCTGAAGAATGCACTGAACAAGAGAAATGTAACCGTTGCCCATAAGTGAATTTGCAATGGACTGGGGGACTGTGACAGAGATGAAGCAGAGGTCCAGAAGAGAGAGGTGCTTTAAAAAGTAATACATGGGGGAATGGAGACGACGGTCCACGGTAATGATGGTGATAATGAGGAGGTTGCCTGTCAAGGCCAGCAGGTATGTCACCAGAAATACCAATGCATGTAAAATCTGAAGCTTACGCTCATCAGAAAACCCCATAAGAAGGAATCCACTCGTTGAAGTCAAATTGACCATAGTCTCTCTGAAGATACCAAGTGTGACTCTGTTTAGGAAGCCAAAGACAGTAGGAAGAAAATGCATGACATCTAATATATTTGTGTGTCAAGTAACTCAATTCCTCAGCATGGAGGTATTGAAATGAGATGAATTTATTTTCATTGCGATTAGTTAATATTCAATTCAAAAACGTTTTAGCAATTATTCAGAAATAGAATCCCTGAATGTGATCAACAAGTCATAAACATTTTCTGGAGCAGAGTTTGCATTGTCAAAGAGGGAGAAATTGATGGAAATGATAAAGTCTTTACCTTCAATAAAGTCAATGAAAATGATTCTAGCATACCAATCTCATTACATCTTCTATATGATGCCTTAGTATTACAACGATGCACTATATAGCTTCTTTTGCTAACCAGCTAACATGAAGTTATTGATACCACCTTGCAAATGGATCTAGAAACAGCTCAGAGGCAGATCTAGAAACAGCTCAGAAGCTAATCTAGAAGAGAGGTTAGCTCAAAGAACAGTCATATTTTTTCCTTTGAAAAGCTCTTAACACTTTAAAAAGATTACATTTGATTGTAATAAACTTTTCATAGAAATTTTGAAAAATGAAATGTCTCAAAATTGTAAAATGCAGATGCCACTGATATCAGGCATTGAATCCTGAGCTTTGGAGATCTTGCAACTAAGTGACAAAGGTTCACCGTCAAAGAACGTTTAATTCTCAAAATTCTTATGACAACTTGGGGTTGGACATTTTCAATCAAATCCATTTGAAGAAATAAAGAGATTTTCTAAAATCTATGTGATAGGCAGAATGCTAGGTAGTAGAGTATATATCTTTCTAGTGCTGTGTCTCATTGTGAGTTCCTGAATGAAAAAATATATATATATATTTCTTTCTAGGACTTGAAATATATTAGATAGTGGGAGCCCATTTCTTAAAATAACCAACCAAACAAAAAAAAAATCTATACCAGATGTAACAATTGTTAGGAGGATTAAATGATGTAACTTTTCCTATTTCATTTTAAATGTGCTATTATTATAGAATCAACACCATCATAGAATTATTTTGTGTATCAGAATCACTCTGCTAACTAATTTTTGCCTCTTTTTTTTCTTTTTAAATCTGTGCATTTGTTGAAAGGTCAATCAGTATCATTTTCACTGAGTTTCTTCTGCACAAAGACTATTCCTTCATCATTTCTGTCCATTTCTTCACCCTTGACCAAAGGCATCTAACATATAGGTTCTAAGTAAATACTTATTTAACGGGATATCTACATAATTGATTTCAGTTCTATATAGACAAAAACTTAATGGCTAAGTTACATGAGTTAATGCATCTGATTTTGAAGTAACTGCATCTGATATTGTAGTTTGTTTCATTTATTAATCCCTAAGCTGTAGGAAAAGGTTAAAAATCACTTAAACCAAGATCTTTTTGATTTTGCTGTAATTTATTTTGAGAACTGACTGAAACTAATTTTTAGGAAATTTTTTTTTTCCACAAGGAACAGTCTCAGGGCTGGAAGGGCCCTTAATCCCTCACTGATGGTCACATCCCCTGCTTCATGGCAGTAGGAATCAGAGGAAAACAGGGGTTACTTTCTTCAAAGTTTCTCTAGCTTTCTTGCTCCTACAGTTTTCCTGGTCCTCCATAAGATATAGCTTAATCCCCAGTGCTGCCAATCTTAATGCCTGGCTTAACTTGCTCCAAATATTGGATGGTAGTTTTGGAATTTAAAATAAAATGTGAATAGATGAAAGCAATTCACTTATATTTTAAAACTTACTGTCTCTGGCTTGAAAATCAAAAGCATCGTGTTACTTACCACTTCTAATACACATTGTTAATGTAATCTAAGAAAAACCTCTATCATTTAGCCTCCCCATTAAGGTTTCTCCATAGAGGGAAGGAGGAGAAAAATCGTAAGAAAAAACTTGAATGCACACACCATATTCTCCTCTCAACAACTCCCACCAACCTATTTTCATTTTTATTTTCTTTGAAGACATAGATAATAATTTTTATATCTGATTAATAAATGGAAAATTTCATCATTTTAATTTCACTAGTTCCAAATTGTATTGATTAATTCATCACTTATCAAATAAGAAGGAAGGGAATCATATACGTGTGGAGATACTCTTAGGATTAAGGATGATACTGCGAGAACATATAAAACCTGTGTTCAATCCTTCCAAGTCATACCTGCATTAAATACTTTATTTATAATAAAACTAAACATTTTTTGGTGGAGAGTATAATGATTCTTTCAATGTCATTTGTTTCCCCCAAGCATTTTTTTCTGTCTTCACTAACCACTTGTATGCAAATTTTATCCTACAAAACATTTCTAAACTTTTCCGTTTTTTACCTCTCATATGTTGAAACCCTCAATTTTTTTGAAAGTAGTTCTCTTTTAGGTTCAGTGGTACATGTGCAAATATGTTATGTAGGTAAACTCTAATTCATTCCAGTAGCTGCTCTAAAGAGTTAGCATCCTGTGTCTCTTCTTCACTATTTTCCTCTATTTCCTGGGAGGTAGCATTGCCAATAACTTCAATGAGAAAACATAGGTAATTATATGTTAAGCCCCTCAGTTTCCTACCTGTATATAAACGAAATGATCTCTAACATGATTTAATTCCACCCACTCTAGGGTTTCAAAGGCAGAGAAAGAGCTCTTTTTTCCTTTCCAAGTCAGTGACCAACCCTATACTCAACCTTGCTCTATCGCAAAGGGCATCTTTGCCACAGTATGCACTTGCTCTCTCTCTCTCTTTCATAATAGTGCACATTTTATGTGTGTGTGTGTGTCTGTATATGTGTGTGTATAAAATCAACACAAACTCCATGTCTAAAAATTCTAATAATGTTGATTTACTGAGATTACTCTTAATGAACCAGATTGTTTCACTATGCTCTGTTGATAGATGATAGATTAGAGATAGATAGATGATAGATAGATAGATAGATAGATAGATAGATAGATAGATAGAGATAATCTTAAGACTCATCCATTTTAAAGAAAAAGAAAAGTCTTCACTCCACACTTAGGACTTACTTATAATGTCCCTTCTCTTTACAGCCATGCTTTATGAGCAGAATAGGGTATCATTCTGTGCCCTGGCACATTTGGTTCAATTCTTGAACCATGTTAATCATTCTTGCTTCATGAGTCCTCACAAACAGCTCCAGCAAATCCACAAATAACTATCACAACGGTAAATTCAATGCACTCTTTCTATTTTGTTTTTATTTTAAATTTTGTTTCTCAAATATATGACACTATTATACAGTTCTTTCTTCTAAAACAGCTGACTTCCATTGGCTCTATGCCACTTAGTTCTGGTTTTCTATTTCCTCTCTGAATATTTTTTCTTAGTCTCGTTATCTGGGTCTTCTTTTAACATTTATTGAAATTTGATGGTTTCCAAAAATTTGTCCTGACACTTTCTTTCTGTACTTTTGTTTACTCAAAAATATTCCTGTGCCTTTTAAAGAAGACAGATTAACTATTTTCCTACACAATAGAAAATAATAGTCTGCTGTTTCGAGCACTACCATAGGTCTTCTGGGTTGCAGGTCCCCTGGGTTGCAGGTCCTCATATCCTGCTTCACGGTTGGCACATCACTGTCCCTGAATGGGTCTTTCCCATAAGGACTCATCTCTTCTCCCAGACATCTCCCTGTCACTGTGACCTATTTCAAAGAATGGCACAACTTTGCTTTAATCTGTATATCCAATCAAACACCAAAATTTTATTTGCTTACTATCTGTTGTAGTTATTACATCTTGCTGTCACACGTACAGATTAGTTCAAACCTTCATTATCTCTGGCAATATTTTATTCTTCAGTTTTATGTATTTCTAATCCAACTTCAATGCTGTTGCCAGGACAAATGGTGATGCAGATCACATCTTGTAACATTAATTTAGCTTTTAGCTCTTTATTGACTTGATTATGCAATGATGCCCAAAAAGCTTAGGATGGCAAACAATATCTTTACAATGCTTCCTGACTGCCATTCCAGTATTATCTATCATTGTGACTTCTCTAACCCCATGCCAATCTCCATGTCTAATAATGGCGACTGACTTAATTACTCTTAATAAATCAATCAGGTTGTATCACCATGCTGTGTTTCTTTTCTTAAATCACACTATCCCTCCTGTCTGGAAGTCCTCCCATTAGAATTGCCCCTCATGGCTGAGCACGGTTGCTCACACCTGTAATCCCAGCACTTTGGGAGGCTGAGGTGGGCAGATCACCTGAGGTCAGGAGTTCAAAACCAGCCTGGCCAAAATGGCGAAACCCCATCTCTACTAAAAATACAAAAATTAGCCGGGCACGGTGGTGGGCACCTGTAATCCCAGCTACTAGGGAGGCTGAGGCAGGAGAATTGTTTGAACCCAGGAGGCGGAGGTTACAGTGAGCCAAGGTCGCGCCACTGCACTCCAGCCTGGGTGACAGAGCGAGACTCGTCTCAAAAAAAAAAAAAAAAAAGAAAAAAAAAAGAAAAAAAAAGAAAAAAAATCTCCCCTCATTTGTTTGGCAAATACTTAACTATCTTTTAACACAGCTACATTGTCTCTTTCCATTTATAATTCACCTGAGTTTAACTGTCGACCCAAGAAGAATTGTCACTCTTTGGAGCCCAGATTGCATTCATTTAAGATTCCTTATAATTTATACTAACTTTTTTATGCTTTATATACTTTTTTATAATTTATACTACCTTATTTGCATAGATATCGCAGCTTATTTAAACTGTTCTTAGTTAAGGAGTGAGAAATTATGTATCTTATTTAGAGTTATAACTTTGAAGACTCGCATAGTCGCTGGCACTAAGCAGGTGCTACATAAATGTTGGATAAATTCCATAAAATTTGAAGAAGTTTTACTCACCAGAGTGGATCTCTCGGTAGAAACAAATCTCAATTGATCCTGAGACTGAGCATCTTTGTTCTAGAATCAAGCTGGTGTTTCAGTCAGTGAAATTTCCATGTAAGGAAAGGACTGAAACGCTTTTATATAGGACCAAACAGGATGTAACTGCCCAGGGACATTTAAATTTCCTATTAACTAAGGGGTATTTGAAATGAAGCCAGTGCTGTCCAGGCACTGGGGACAAAAATCCTGTGCAGGAAAGTTGGTGTTTCAGATAAAAACTATGAGTTCAAAGCAGGGGATTTCATGGACCTCTCCCTCAGGGAATTGCCTCAGTGGGAAGTAGTTAATTATTATCTTGGTTTAGCTAACTCTTGTAGTCGATGCATTTCAGGTTAAAAAAATGAATATTATACATAACTCGTTTTCTGTAACACAGGTTCACAGGTTTTTCTAGTAAAAAGGATTTTTTTCATTAATTAACAGTTTCATTTTAACTGGTCACCAATAAAATCATGCATGATTGCACTGGCCTTATGTAAAAAAAAAAAGGAATACTTAGTAATTATTTACATAAACCCAGACATAATAGTAGAATCAAAGAATCTCAGAATAAAACCATGACTTAGAGAGCTAAACTTTCTTCAAACATGTTGTCTTTTCTAAAATTACTCTGAAACTGATAATCCAGCCCTCATTTTAACAATCCCCCAGATGAATAATTTTTACTCAAAAGTGAATGAATTCCATTCTTAAATATGTGTGATTATGGAAAAGGCATTTTTTAAAATTATACTTTAAATTTTAGGATACATGTGCACAACGTGCAGGTTTGTTACATATGTATACATGTGCCATGTTGGTGTGCTGCACCCATTAACTAGTCATTTAGCATTAGGTATATCTCCTAATGCTATCCCTCCCCACTCCCCCCACCCCACAACAGGCCCCAGAGTGTGATGTTCCCCTTCCTGTGTCCATGTGATCTCATTGTTCAATTCCCACCTATGAGTGAGAACATGCGATGTTTGGGTTTTTGTCCTTTGTGATAGTTTGCTGAGAATGATGGTTTCCAGCTTCATCCATATCCCTACAAAGGACATGAACTCATCATTTTTTTATGGCTGCATAGTATTCCATGGTGTATATGTGCCACATTTTCTTAATCCAGTCTATCATTGTTGGACATTTGGGTTGGTTCCAAGTCTTTGCTATTGTGAATAGCGCCACAATAAACATATGTGTGCATGTGTCTTTCTAGCAGCATGATTTATAATCCTTTGGGTATATACCCAGTAATGGGATGGCTGGGTCAAATGGTATTTCTAGTTCTAGATCCCTGAGGAGTTGCCACACTGACTTCCACAATGGTTGAACTAGTTTACAGTCCCACCAACAGTGTAAAAGTGTTCCTGTTTCTCCGTATCCTCTCCAGCACCTGTTATTTCCTGACTTTTTAATGATTGCCATTCTAACTGGTGTGAGATGGTATCTCATTGTGGTTTTGATTTGCATTTCTCTGATGGCCAGTGATGATGAGCATTTTTTCATGTGTTTTTTGGCTCCATAAATGTCTTCTTTTGAGAAGTGTCTGTTCATATCCTTTGCCCACTTTTTGATGGGGTTGTTTTTTTCTTGTAAATTTGTTTGAGTTCATTGTAGATTCTGGATATTAGCCCTTTGTCAGATGAGTAGGTTGCAAAAATTTTCTCCCATTCTGTAGGTTGCCTGTTCACTCTGATGGTGGTTTCTTTTGCTGTGCAGAAGCTCTTTAGTTTAATTAGATTCCATTTATCAATTTTGGCTTTTGTTGCCATTGCTTTTGGTGTTTTAGACATGAAGTCCTTGCCCATGCCTATGTCCTGAATGGTATTGCCTAGGTTTTGTTCTAGGGTTTTTCTGGTTTTAGGTCTAACATTGAAGTCTTTAATCCATCTTGAATTAATTTTTGTATAAGGTGTAAGGAGGGGATCCAGTTTCAGCTTTCTACATATGGCTAGCCAGTTTTCCCAGCACCATTTATTAAATAGAGAATCCTTTCCCCATTGCTTGTTTTTGTCAGGTTTGTCAAAGATCAGATACTGGTAGATATGTGGCATTATTTCTGAGGCCTCTGTTCTGTTCCATTGGTCTATATCTGTTTTGGTACCAGTACCATGCTATTTTGGTTACTGTAGCCTTGTAGTATAGTTTGAAGTCAGGTAGTGTGATGCCTCCAGCTTTGTTCTTTTGGCTTAGGATTGACTTGGCAATGCAGGCTCTTTTTTGGTTCCATATGAACTTTAAAGTAGTTTTTTCCAACTCTGTGAAGAAAGTCATTGGTAGCTTGATGGGGATGGCATTGAATCTATAAATTACCTTGGGCAGTATGGCCATTTTCACGATATTGATTCTTCCTACCCATGAGCATGGAATGTTCTTCCATTTGTTTGTATCCTCTTTTATTTCATTGAGCAGTGGTTTGTAGTTCTCCTTGAAGAGGTCCTTCACATCCCTTGTAAGTTGGATTCCTAGGTTTTTATTCTCTTTGAAGCAATTGTGAATGGGAGTTCACTCATGATTTGGCTCTCTGTCTGTTATCGGTGTATAAGAATGCTTGTGATTTTTGCACATTGATTTTTTATCCTCAGACTTTGCTGAAGTTGCCTATCAGCTTAAGGAGATTTTGGGCTGAGACGATGGGGTTTTCTAGATATACAATCATATCATCTGCAAAGAGGGACAATTTGACTTCCTCTTTTCCTAATTGAATGCCTTGGAAAAGGCATTTTTGAAATCATGATAAGGACACTTAACATAAAATCTACCTTCTTAGCATTGAAAGAAAATTTTTTAAAACTTTTAATATCAAAAATTTAATATATTGTATATTCTACTTGGCAAATGTTTAAAAATAGCTCTAAGTTCCCGTGTGTGTGTGTATATATATATATATATAATGTATATGATTTATATTATGTGTATTATATATATGAATTATATATATAAATATAAGAAACTGAATTGTAAATGTTGCAGACCAATAAACTTTATTTTGATCTCCAGTGACAAATATAGTACCACATTAAGTACCACAATATGGTGTCTCAGTAAGGATCACACGTTTTCATAAGGCTGTTTATGAACAATAAGAGACAATTAATGAATGATTAAAAAATACTCAGGTTTTTTTCATTTTGAGGAAAGAATTTTCTATTTTAACATTGACTTTGATTGTGATCTGATCAATGTTTTTGTAAAAGCTTTGGATACAGATGGTAGGTGGATTCAATATTATACATGGTGGTTAGTAGACAAATAATCCAAAAATTTCAACATACAACAATAATGGATAATTTAGAGAAAACTGTGGGATAGTTCAAATAGGATAAACTTTAATAAAATACTTTCCAAGATAAAGGCACATTAAAATTTGAGAGATGTGTGTTTTTCTTTTTTTTTAAGATTGATTAAATCTAATCAATACATGCTAAGAGCATCCAATGACAAAGAAATCAGTTACAAAAAGACCCTATAGTAATATTTCAATTGATGAGTAATATTTTCACTTTACTCTCTTCATCAGACCGAAACTGAATGAATCATTTCAGAATTAAATACATTAAGAAAATTGTAGACAAATGGATGTGTTAGCAAACAAAAGCAATTGTCATTCATTCCAATTACTAGAAAGCTCAGGGTGACCTATATTTTCAAATATTAAAAATGTTTGTCTTTTAAAAATAAATTTAAATTTATCTATGTTCCTAGAATCAATCTAGTAATAATGGTTATTAGTTATATTCAGATAGTTGTTTTCTCAGCATAAACAATAATTTTCAAAACCTGTTCCTGATGATACAGTAACTACAGACTGATATTAAGAAATATTTATTTATTTATTTTTTAAAGGAAGGGTTTGAATCCCTTACAAAAGTTTTGTGGAGACCTTTTTGAATTCAGTGAAAAAATCTAATTTTGATATTGTAAAATTCTTTTTCTTTTTTTTTCATCTACACTTTCAATTTCCAACTCCTGTGTCTATGCCTTTAATATTCTGACTCATAATTCATGCCATGAGGATGTTTTTCCACAACTCCTCTAGGATAAAAGAAAGCCTACATTAATTTATGTTAGTAATAATAACATTGGACAGTCTGAAACTGCTTGTGGCTTATATAAAAGGGGTTTTCCACTAGAAGTTTAACTCAGGCAGGGCGAGGTGGCTCATGCCTGCAATCCCAACACTTTGGGAGGCCAAGGCAGGCAGATCACTAGAGCACATGAGTTCAAGACCAGCCTGGGCAACATGGTGAGACCCTGTCTCTACAAAAAATACAAAAATTAATTTATCTATTATTTTCTATTTTATTACTTTCAATTATTAAATATTTTCTTTATTATTTTCTGGCTTCTACTGACATGGATTTATTTTTCTTTTTTTCCCTAGCTTTTTAAAATTTTCTATCCAGACCACAAAAAATTTTCTCCATATCAGCAATAAGACTGTTTTGCTATCTTATTTATGTGTTTACTGGAGTAGCGCATTTTAATTTTTTTCAATAACTTTTCTTTACATTCACAACTTGGCTAACTGGTGCAAAAGCCCTAGCTTCTGGCCTGTCTTGGCTTTTGATAGGCCTTCTTCACTAAGCTTAATCATTTCTAGCTTTTGATTTAAATAAGAGACATGTGACTCTTCCTTTCACTTGAATACTTAAAGGCCATTGTAGGATTATTAATTGGTCTCATTTCAATATTGTTGTGTCTTAGAAAATAGAGAGGCCTGAAGAGAGGGAGAGATGGTGGAACAGCCAGTGGGTGGAGCAATCAAAACATACATCATTTATCAATTAAGTTCACTGACTTACATGGGCAGTTTGTGGTTCCCTAAAACAATTACAATAGTAACATCAAAGATCACTGATCACACGTCACCATAACTTTCACCCGCGTCCGTGTGAAGAGATCACCAAACAGGCTTTGTGTGAGCAATAAAGCTTTTTAATCACCTGGGTGCAGGCGGGCTGAGTCCGAAAAGAGAGTCAGCTAAGGGAGATAGGGGTGGGGCCATATTATAAGATTTGGGTAGGTAAAGGAAAATTAGTCAAAGGGGGGTTGTTCTCTAGCGGGCAGGAGTGGGGGTCACAAGGTGCTCAGTGGGGGAGGTTTTTTGAGCCAGGATGAGCCAGGAAAAGGAATTTCACAAGGTAATGTCATCAGTTAAGGCAAGGACCGGCCATTTTCACTTCTTTTGTGGTGGAATGTCATCAGTTAAGGCAGGAACAGGCCATTTTCACTTATTTTGTGATTCTTCAGTTACTTCAGGCCATCTGGGCATATACATGCAGGTCACAGGGGATGCGATGGCTTAGCTTGGGCTCAGAGGCCTGACAATAACGATACAATAATAACGAAAAAGTTTGAAATATTGTGAGAATTACCAAAACGTCACATAGAGATATGAAGGGAGCACATGCCGTTGGAAAAATGATACTGATAGATTTGCTCATTGCAAGGTTGCCACAAACCTTCAGGTGCAATAAAGTGAAGCACAATAAAATGAGACAGGCCTATATTTGGTCGAACATCATTCTGGGTGTGTTTGGAGAGGTGGCTCCTCTCTGCAGGCAGGTCCCCATTGACTTCCCAGCTCTCAGCAGAGAGGATAGCTACTCTCTGCAGCTGGTCATCTCGTCATCTCTCAGTTGTCCTCTACCATGCTATTGCTGATCCTGGGGCTTTTATGGACCTCAGAGGGGAGGAAGTGCATATGGAGTGGTCCATCCGTGGCCATGGGTGGGCAGAAAAAGGCACCACAAGACCCCACTCCAGTCCACCGGTGTGGCAGCCTGACCCCCAGCCTTCAGGCTCTTCCTGGCCTGAGGATGGGGCCTTACAGGGACCCACTCCCTTCCACCTAGGAGCCCGTCTGCCTCCTGACGCCTTTCATGGTGCCAAGGGGCACCTGCAGGCCAACGCTTTGCCCGCATCCACTCTTGTCTGGCCCAACATCCAGAGGGGGCTGAGGTGGCAGGGCTCGATCATGCATATACCTGGCAGGGTTGTGACAGTGCCTGGGCTCAGCTCCACCTACTCCTAGATTGGATCAGTTGCAGAGAGTGGGAAGAGACCAGGCAGTAGGAGCAGGCACCTCTGAGCCTGCAATGGCAAAGGGGGCCTTCCCTGGCTCTCAAGAGCACACGGAGGCCCACATCTACTGTCTCCATTTGGACAGCTGCAGCTGTGCCTGGGGGTGTGGGGCTCCTGCCTGCTCCCAGCCCTCAAGAGCACATGGAGGCCCAAGTCTACAACCCTGACGTGGGTGGCTGCAGCCGCGCCCAGGGTGGGCAGAGCTCCTGCCTGCTCCCAGCACACAGGAGCCCCGGGTATACTGCACCGACTTTGGCGGCTGCAGCTGTGCCTAGTCGGGCAGGGGCTTTCAGGGAGGCCCTGGATAGAGCAGAACGCAGGCCCTGGGTCTGGCTGTCGGGAGTGGCAGGCTCCGAGGTCACCCTAACGCCTCGGGTGACCTGTATAGAGCAGACCCCAGGGGACTGGCCCTGGGAGGCCTGCACAGAGCCTCCTCCCAAGGCCCAGGAACTCCAGCATGCCAACTGCAGATCATGGGACTTCTCAATGTTTAGTGTACTATGAATTACATTCAGTGCTTTTAGGTATTATGTATATTTAAACGTTGTGGTTTTCATCTCTAGAAGTTTGATTTTTTAAAGTATCTTCCTCGTCTCTAAATTTTTGAACATATGGTAAACAGTATAATTGTTTTAATGCCATAACTTGAATCATTCTAACATATGTGTCAGTTCTGAGTCAGGTTTGATTTATTGATTTTTCTCCTTACATCATATTTTCCTGCTTTTTTTCATGCTTAGTAAATTTTCATTGGAAAATTTTCTTTTACTGGGTATATCTGTAATCCTATAAATACCCTTGAGTTTATTCTGGAGTGTTACTAAGTTACTTGGATACAGTTTGATACTTTAGTCACTTGTTTTGAAGATTTGTTAGGTAAAACCAGAACAGTGTTTAGTTTAGAGCTAATTATTGAAATTCTTGAAGCAAGACACTTTTGATTGCTAAACTCAATGCCTCAGGAATTCTTAGGTTTTCATTCTGGCACATAAATAGCTTGAGAACCCACAAAATTCCCAGCCTTTGCATAAGCATTGGGCACTATTTACCTTAATCCATTAAGTGGTTCTTTCCTCATTCTTGGATAGCTTCCTCACACACATGCAAATCAGCGCTCAGCTAAACTCAAGCAGGGCCCTCTCTCTGTGTATTAGTCCATTTTCATACTGCTATAAGGAAATACCCAAGACTGGGTAATTTGTAAAGAAAAGAGGTTTAATTGACTCACAGTTCCACATGGCTGGGGAGGCCTCAAGAAACTTACAATCATGGTGGAAGGTGAAGAGGAAGCACTGACCTTCTTCACATGGTGGCAGGAGAGAGAAGTGCAAGCAGGGGAAATGCCAGAGGCTTGTAAAACCATCAGATCTCATGAAAAGTAACTCACTGTCACGAGACCAGAATAGGAGAAACCACCCCCACGATCCAGTCACCTCCCTCCCTCAACATATGGGGATTACAATCGAGATGAGATTTGGATGGGGACACAGAGCCAAATCACATCATTCTGCAAGTCGTGAAAGATTTTTCTATGTTTAGCATTATCTTTTCTGACACTTTTTATGACAAATTCTGCCTTAGTCTGGATGCTCAGTTCTGCCTTTTTTATTTCTCAGTTTTTTTCAAAAGTTGTATTCCTTGATGTAAAGGTAAATGTCTAATTTTATTTCAGTGACTTGTACATAGTTGCCATCAATAAATATTTACCAAATAAAGGAATGCATTTTCATCATAAGATAAACCTCATCATAGCAACAGCTCATTTAAATGTTGCTGTTTATGTTGTTTTATAAGATATAACAAATAAATATTTTTATTTAATAATTTACTAATATTATTTTTAAATCATGTTGGGTAGTTAATCCAAACCAACAATATATAACTGTGATGAGAGTCAGAAAATTTCTATTATTTCTAAAAGTGTTGGGAATTATCCACTTCTCCTAGAATAAATATGATAGTAGACTTTGTTCTGATATAAATATTTTTACCTTATTGAATATGTTTTCCTACTGCTCCTATAGCACAGGGCCTATTTCTATTTAATGGCTTGCCAATTATTTGCATAATTGATGTAATATTTAGTAACTTTTAATATTTAATAACTTTACTAATGTTTTGGTAATACTTTCAGGAATACTTAAAATATTTCCTTATTAAACTTGTTCAACATTGCCTTATTTTGATTTGCTTGCTTGATAGTACAGGTACTATAATTTATTTAATGATATATTTAAATATATAGCCTTCCAAAATCTCAGGCAGCATACATGCAGAAATATTATACCTTTATAAAGTCAAAAATTTAAAACTGTTTAAAGATAAAATTTTTCTCTGGCATATCTGTAATAATGAAAGTGAATCAAAATATATTTCTAGGGCTTGGGGGACATATCTTGAGCAGCCACCCACATCAGCAAAACATTTCTCCAAGCACCCATATTTTAATTTAAAAATACATGTGATTTTCTCAACATAATATATCCATGTTTATTCCAATGCAACACAGTAGTTTCAATGTTCAATTATTTTGAGTTCTATTTATACTTCTAAGTTAAACAAACAAACTCAAGAATATGTTAACATTTTTATTAAATGACCACAAAAACCCCCAACATTCAACCTCTGAGAAATATACTGCTTTAATAGAATAAATAAATACAATAAGCGTTTTTTTCATAATACATATTAGGATGTATTTTATTTCATGCCAATAGCAGACTCCATGTATAAATGAACCATGGGTTGGGAAAAATACTGTGATCAAAAAAATGCATAATGTCTAGGATCCTTTTCCAGATTATACTAGAATTAAGGAAATGAACTCACTTTCTCTTATATAGCCACAGGCCTTCAAAAGTGTTCCCAAAAACCTTTTATCTGTGTTCCAGCTTCTCATCTGTCTCACCACCGGGAGCCACAGAAAGTGGACATGCTCACAGTACAGGAAATAGAGCTTTGCACTGTTCTTTTAATGATGTGGATTTTTTGGTGAACTCACTCTATTTTGTCTTGGTTTCTTCGGCTCATAGGTTTGTGAGGCAGTTTATAGCAAAAGGCTATAAAAGTCTTTTTTTTCTAAATAAAGATAATAGATCAACCAAAGTTTTGAATTCCACATGGTATTCTCAAACCCCCACACTGAAATAGGACTAAATTACCCAGTCAAGTGGTGAAGAAAGCTGCCTTGTCAAAACATGTAAATTCCCACTGAGTTTGTGTCCCTAAATTAGAATTTTTTCCACCTCAGGTTTTTCCCCTGCTGATCACTATCCAAAGCATCTCACTGTTCATCTTTCCCCCCAGAGTAAGTTCTATTTGCATTGACCTAGGCCTCATTGTTGTGTACCACAAGAGCATAAGATTGACTAAGGCAAAACATTTATGGCAAAAAAAATTTGTATTTAAAAGAATTCATGGCAAAAAAAATATATTTAAAATCATCACCTCTAAATTTGTTCATTAATTTCTCTTTCCATAATTCCATCTTAATGTTTTTGAACTAATTGTCTCTTGATTTTACTTGCCTGTGAGACCTTACAAAAGCATTTGAGGGTGATATAATTGGACATCGAATGTTAGAAGATGGCTAAATGGTGGCAATACATGTTGATCAAAATTACCTCACGATAGTACTGGCATGTTTTTCTAAGAGTTGGGATCATTTCTAATTTAATTGGGATTCATTTATAAACAATTTATGCTAAATATATTTCCTAAACTTTCTCAGTATCTTTTTCTCTAGCTATTATACCATTTTCCCTTACTTTAACTAGATTAGCTAGTCATTAGGAATAGGGAGAAAAAAGACTGACTTGATGGAATCCAATACTGTAAAGCAGATAGTCTCGTAAGTGAAAAAATGCTATGTAGATTTTACCAAGAGTTAATTGTTTTTTTCTTAGTCTTGTTCCACTTGTAAACTTTGTGTCACTTGATACTGTTCCCTCATCAATTCCATGTCCAACATCTTTTTGAAAGTCAAACACATCTATCCTCGCTTCTTAGGACTTCTTTTCAGATATCATCTTGTCTTAATCCAAAACTCTTTAGTCAGTGACCTTCTCAGGGCAGCTTTCACATCCTTGTTTCTCAATGTGTAGATGAATGGGTTGAGGGTGGGTGTGACAATGCCATAAAAGAGAGCCATGATCTTCCCCCGGTCATGAGAATAGCTAGAGGGAGGCTGGACATACATACTGATGGCTGTGAAGTAGAAGAGGGAGACCACCAGCAAATGTGAGGCACAGGTATTGAAAGCCTTCCAGCGACTTTCAGCAGAGCAGATTCTCATTACTGCCTGAGCAATGAACACATAAGTGCCCAGGATGAGGGTGAGTGGCATCAGGAGAAGCAAAGCGCCTAGTACATTGAGCTCCATTTCATTCACACGAATATCAATACAGGCTAGTTTCAAAAGGGCTGGAACTTCACAGAAGAAATGGTCCAACACCCTCTGTCCACATCTTGGGGCCACCACTGTGAGAGTGGACTGGACAAGGGAGTTAGCAAAGCCACTGATCCAAGTGCCAGCAGCCATGTGGATACAGCGTCTATGGTTCATGATGACTGGGTAGTGAAGGGGCTTGCATATGGCAGCGTAACGGTCAAAGGCCATGATGGCTAGAAGTATGCATTCAGTAGAACCCAGGGCCAAAAATATATAGAGTTGGGCAACACAACCCCCATAGCTAATGGTCTTTTCTGGTCCCCGGAGGTTGACCAGCATCTGTGGGACAGTGCTGGTGGTATAGCAGAGGTCCAGAAAGGATAGATTAGAGACAAAAAAGTACATGGGACTGTCAAGCTGGGGATCCAGATGGGAAACTAGGATAATGGAGATATTTCCAAATAGGGAAAAGATGTAGGCCACCAGAAAGATTACAGAGGGGTGTCTCTAGCCAGGGACGGTCAGAAAATCCCAATAGGATAAAATCATCTAGCGAGCTTTGATTGTTGATCCACATGTTAGCACTGGGAGGTGAAATTCCAGCTGAGACCTCTAAATACCCACAGTTAGGGATAGACATCAACAGTAGGAGGAAGCCACTGAGAATTAGAGATCAGAGATGCCAAGATGAAATTTTCATTTTTGCTCTAATCGGCATCTGTATCTTCATTACAGTAAAATATCATTTGCATCTACATCCTGATTATGATGAAATGTGGAGACAACATCATCAATGTAATATTGAAAGATTACTGAGAACAGAATAAATACCACACCAGCAACATAGTTGGGAATTTTGCTTATTTAATATATGTCTTCTGGTTAGCTATTCACTCCATTTGGGTTTTCATATCTTCTCTTCTAAAAAGTTTTAGTATACTACCATCAACTCTACATGCATGGATATGTAATGGTGGCAACAGAGTGTAGATTAAAATAGAAGGAAAAGGCAGAACTTCCCAAAAACAGGTCAAACGAAGGCCGGCATGAAGACTACAGGAGGATGTGCAGCCAGGGAGAACGAAGACATCTTGGCATGTTCATCTGCTTGATACAGATCCTGGTCAGAAAACACCATAAGAACTGGAGCACTTTATAAAGTCTGCATGATAAAAGGATGGAGTGCCATGACTCGTTTTACCCCTTCCAAGCTTTAATGCTAGTCCTACTCAGAACATTTAAAAATAGGGAGAAAAAAGCCAAAAAAACAAACAAAATTACACACACAAAAAAACAATCAGTCCTTAGAAATTTGTTTGCTGTGAAAATGCAACTTTAAAAATATCTGGATACATTTGATGAAATTTTAATCTCTGGAAGAAATCACCAGAAAGAGTTTTAAATATGTGAATCCTTGAAATTTGAGGATGTATATGAATTTGTAATCTCTCAGCATCATTCTCAGCACATATAAACTTAATCATTTTCCCTCTCTCTCCCTTCTTTATTCTCATATTTTCTAATTACTGATACTATTTTTTCCACCAAAATTGCCTCTATCCTGCTCTTTGCCCATCCAAATTACACAATTCCTTTATCATATAATTTCTAAAGAATAACTCCAATTGCAAATTTTTCCATTCCCTACAATCCCAAATTTCTTTTTTTGTTTGACTCTTATCTTTTAGTAAATTTGTCTTGTGTTTTTCTCTAGTTGTTTTATAAAAGACATTTATAAAAGACTGGGATTTCCTCCAAATCCCAGTCATTCCATTCATTAGCTGTGTGACTTTGGAGATGTCATTTAATCTTTGTGTGCTTCAATTTTCTCATCTTTCAAATAAGCATAATTATACCCATCTCATAGAACTAGTGTACAAATTAAGGAATAGAGTGTACATTGCAAACATAGCTCAGTTCTTGTCATATACTAATAATTCAATGACTATTAACAATTATTATATACTTACCTAATTATGAATCCCCAGATGTATTACAGTTGTTTTATTTTTATGCATTTATGCAGTTTATAATGATATTTGTAACAATAAACAAATATTTATTAGAGGATAGTAAACAAAATGTGACTGCTCTGAAATCAGCTCAGGATCCTCTATTTACTTTTCTGATCCTCTCAGTTGCCCTATGTCATATTCTTCTTGTGATCCTGACTTAGTAGGGTTCATGTACTTAGTTGGCCAGCTCTATATTTCAAATCGTGTCATCTGAGTTACGGTATCCGTGTGAATGAAATGAGTGACAGTGAGAAATGATAGGGATAAAAACTTGCTTCACAGCTAAACATAAGAATCACTAAATTCAAAACTGATTTTAGTATCCATCCATTAACACTTCTAATTTCTTCATTTGCTTATAGAATAACAATTCTTTTGGTATGCAGAGGTCATCATTCTCTTTGAATTATAATTGCATACATGTCACGTAAGATGTCAGCTGGAGTAATTTCTTCTTCACCATTGTCTCTCAAATCTATCTATTAAATCTGTATCTATCTAAAAACATTAAGGCAGACATACAGAAAATAGTTCAGTGTCCCATGATCTCTAGCTTTCAAACTGGTATTCTTACTTACAATTGTTCTCTCATCTTCAAAACAACCTAGCTGGTTTGGAGAACAGTCTTTCCATCGTTAAAATGTGGCCATGTACATTTCAATTCAAAATTATTCAGTGGCTCTCCATATTCTGACACATTATATTAAAATGCAACCTTGGACTCAGGCCTCATATAACAATCGCTTGAACCATGCAGACATATTCACTGATCCAACCAAACTTGTGACCTTCCCCCTTGACCCCTTGTATTTATGCTGATGTGAAATGCCATTGTTGTTATGTATCCTGTAAGGATCATCTCAAATATAAAAATGTCCTTAAGTATTTCCTGCTCTCCTTTCTTACTGGTCGTCCAGAGCATTTTATTTGTAATTTCTTGATGATATACTCATTTATAAATATGACATATATACATGATATATATATATATACATGATATATATATATCATGTATATATGATTTGATAATTTTTTCATGATATACATATATACTCATATATAGATATATATCTATATATGGGAGAGATAGAGATTTTTTTCTGTCTTTTTTGTACTCGATATGTTTTCCTGACTATATCGATTACATACTCTTTGAAAAGAGTCAGCACGTGACTTTTAGACATAAGAGTATATGTTAAATATAATAGATATTTACTACATGTTAATCAATTTGAATTTAGTTGAAACCAGCAATCATGAAGCTTTTTCCTTTGGTGCTCTGATATGTTATTCCTAGATTACATTAGCATTTTGATATCATTATTTTTCACCTATGACCTCAATCAGTTTCACTGATATTTCATCACAACCAAACCCATATACATCATTTACTAATTCAGAGCCCAAGAGGTCAAAGCAGAGTTAAAATATGCCCCATTGGCAGTTTTAGGGTTTTATTGCTAATTCTCAAATTGATGTAACTAATTAACCAATAAATACATTTATTTTACTTACTAAAAATGCATGGACTTTAAATATGTCACTTCATACCCTTGTGACCTGGTTTGTTCAACCAGATCAAGAGAATTAAAATACTTGCATATAAACTCCATAGTACTTTAATGACAATTAAATGTATATTTCCTTTGTAAATTAAAAAAAAACTTATAAAAGACCACATATAATACAAAAGCAGTAGCTGCAATATTAGTAGGACTACTCACATGGTAAAATTACATAGAAGTGATTCTAGAAACTTCTGGGACGTCTCCTTTTTTAAACCTTGTCATTTTGTATCTCTATAATGCCACTCTTCATTCAAACTGGTGCTATCCAATTCCTTTCTTCTCCCATTTCTCACCTGGGACAGTGAGTCTTTAGGAATAGAGCCTTAAAAATATGATTACGGCCGGGCGGGGTGGCTCACGCCTGCAATCCCAGCACTTTGGGAGGCCGAGGCGGGCGGATCATGAGGTCAGGAGATCGAGACCATCCTGGCGAACAAGGTGAAACCCCGTCTCTACTCAAAATAAAAAAAAAAATTAGCCGGGTGTGGTGGCAGCCACCTGTAGTCCCAGCTACTCGGGAGGCTGAGGCAGGAGAATGGCGTGAACCCGGAGGGGGCGGAGCTTGCCATGAGCCGAGATCGCACCACTGCACTCGAGCCTGGGAGACAGTGAGACTCCGTCTCAAAAAAAAAAAATAATATATATATATATATAATATATATATATATATATATATGATTACATTTTGTATTGTATCCCCAAAGAAATGGAACACATATCTCTGCCAGTTGATTAGAAGATTATTATATGAATATATTTTGATTCAATACTGAGAAACAATTTTATCTTTACATATATATTTCTGAATCAAATTTTGCCTTATCTATTATGGTCAAAGGAAGACTTCTTCTGTGTTGTAGGATTTCTTATAGAAGAATACTTCTTAATCAGTATTCAAGTAATTCCTTGTCCAATTAAAATCCTAAAAAGACAATTTTGGAATGCTACCTTCATTCTGTCTGGATTGTTTTCTTGCTAGAGTCTCTTTCAGAATCTCATTTAGTTAGAACTCAGATAATGTTCTAAATCTGAAGAAAGCTGTGTTTCTTTTCCTACATTTCAAAATTAGTAATAACATTTTCACAATCTTTATATTTTTCTACTGCTTCTCTTCCAGTAGGCACAGCTATTTGTTTCTATTAAGTTCTATTAAGTACTATTAAGTTTCTGGGGTAAGTTTGGAAAGTTATGAATAAAATTAATTATATACTTTACCCGAGGAAAACAGTAAAGTTATTAAAGAAGTATATGTAGCCTGTTCCCCTGGTTTTCCATATACTTCATTTGTGCTTAAATATTGAAAATTTATAGGAAATAGAGGTAAAATGAGTAACAAGGAAATAATAGCAGCAGATAAACTCAGAAAGTAAAGAGAGAAGAAAAATGGAAAGAAAAAAATAAGACAGAAAAAAGAAGTACATAAAGATGGTAAATTTTTGTCTGATACATAGTAATAGTCACATAAGTAGCTGTCAAATATATGAATATAAAAAGAAATGGAAGAAAAATAGAAAATAAAAATGAAAGATCTAAGACTAAATTCAGTAATTCAGTTTAAATGTCTAGAAAGGATGCAGGGAGTTCTTGCCTTTCTGACTGTATAAGAATAATACGGAATTCGCCTAAATCAAAAGTTAAAAACAGGCTGATAATCCCCTTGAGGGTGAAAAACTGGAGCTGGGAGACAGAAGAATCTATAGATCTCTGGCAAATGGAGTGCACAAAAAAACGAAGGGTGAGCAGAGTAGAAGTATCTGACCACATGGTTTAAGAACACATGAAGCCCATTATTTTAAACGTTTACATCCTAATACACTCTTCATTAACTTTCTAAGCATGGCTCTAATATAATATGTTAATAAACAAAACTGAAACAATATTTAGATTTTCATTCTACCTGACTTATTTTATATACTTCCTCTTCATGTTACTTTGTAAGAACTTTTGCTATAGTTTTAATTCCATGCTATCAGATTCCCTTGTTCTAAATTGTCATAGATTTAAACAACTTTTTGTTGTTGTTTGTTTTTGTTTTTGTTTCTGTTCTGCCACCCAGGCTGGAGTGCAGTGATGTGATCTCAGCTCACTGCAACCTCCGCTTCCCAGGTTCACACGATTCTCCTGTCTCAGCCTCCAGAGCAGCTGGAATTACAGGTGTGCACCACCACACCCAGCTAATGGATTTAAACAACCTTTGATTATCTGAGTGGTAGGCCTTTCAGAGCTAAATTTTCTCAAAAATCAACATCTTAATAGCTACAATCTTTGTAATGGAAATAGCAGTTTCAGTCTAGAAAAGTGGTTAAAAAAAGGTACACCTAAAAATACTTAAATGAAAATATAAAGTTTCAAAGGTAAATAACATGATTGGTAACACATATTTTTCCATCAGTCTCCTAATAATAGAATAGTGTTTAACAAAGATTGGCAAACACCAGATAGTTCATATCAAATTTTCTATCCATAAACTTAAATTTTAAGTATATAATTGCTTTCATACAAGTATGTTTGTTTTCTTCTTATAATATGCCTCTAAAGAACGATTTTTTTATATAACAGAAGAGAGGAAACGCAGGCACCAAGAGGTTGTAGGACTTGCTCAAGTTTATAGATCTAGTAAATTCAGAAGAAAAGATTTGAATAATACAATATTTTGAATCCTACATCAGTATACTTTTCATAAGCTTATTGTTCTCTCAAACAAAAATGTATGTGGCTTGTAGAATAAACCTTTTTACATTTTAAAAAATTTTTATTTTATAGTTCTACTCCTGAGTGCTCCCTTCAGCCTACTCCACGAAGTGATGACAACTTTAATTAATATTCCCTCTCCAAATCCCTTCAACATTTACCTGATGCTGGGTTGTAATCCATCAGTTTGTCTGGAATGTGACATGGAGATACGGAGTCCTGGAAGACTGACCTGGGGCCCAAACATGATCCTCAAACCAGTTTGTTGTTTGAATTTCTTCTCAGCCCTCTTTAACATCAACCCAGCTCTCTCTGACCTACTGAAGGGTCAACCTCAAGAAACCAACTCCAACTGATGGCCATCCATAGAATACATAGCTCTTCAGGGAGCTTTCATGCCATTACTGCCTCACTCTCATACTTCCGTTTAAGCCTCCGAGATTCAAAATAATTAGCCTCTACTGCTGCCAACATGTCCAGGGAAAAATAACCAGAGGGACTAGAAAATGAGTATGCCACAGAAGAAATCAAGAAAATGTTTCTAACAAAATACAAACTTTGGGCATGTAAGTTTGGAGAGTCATCTAAGAAGAAAGAAAATTAATTCAAGCAAGACTAAATCTCATGGTTGCCAAGATGATTTTTTTCATTATACTTTAAGTTCTGGGATACATGTGCAGAACGTGCAGGTTTGTTACATAGGTACACACATGCCATGGTGGTTTGCTGCACCCATCAACCCGTCATCTACATTAGGTGTTTCTCCTAATGCACCCCACCCTCTAACAGGCCCCAATGTATGATGTTCCCCTCACTGTGTCCATGTGTTCTCATTGTTCAACTCCCATTTATGAGTGAGAATAAGGAGTGTTTGGTTTGCTGTTCCTGTGTTAGTTAATGAGAATCATGGCTTCCAGCATAATCCATGTCCCTGCAAAGAACATAAACTCATTCTTTTTTATGGCAGCATAGTATCCCATGGTGTATATGTGCCACATTTTCCTTATCCAGTCTATCACTGATGGGCATTTGGGTTCCAAGTCTTTGCTATTGTAAATAGTGCTGCAATAAACATATATGTGCGTGTGTCTTTATAGTGGAATGTTTTATAATCCTTTGGGTATATATCCAGTAATGGGATTTCTAGGTCAAATGGTATTTCTGGTTCTAGATCCTTCAGAAATCACCACACTGTCTTCCACAATGGTTGAACTAATTTACATACCCACCAACAGTGTAAAAGCATTCCTATTTCTCCACATCCTCTCCAGCCTCTCTTGTTTCCTGACTTTTTAATGATCACCATTCTAACTGGCATGAGATGGTATCTCATTGTAGTTTTGATTTGCATTTCTCTAATGACCAATGATGATGAGCTTCATTTCATATGTTTGTTGACCACATAAATGTCTTCATGCCTTCTTTTGAGAGGTGTCTGTTCATATTCTTCACCCACTTTTTGATGGGGTTGTTTTTTTTCTTGTAAATTTGTTTAAGTTATTTGTAGATTCTGGATATTAGTCCTTTGTCAGATGGATAGATTGCAAAAATTTTCTTCCATTCCGTAGGTTAACTGTTCACTCTGATGATAGTTTCTTTTGTTGTGCAGAAGCTCTTTAGTTTAATTAGATCCTATTTGTCTATTTTGGCTTTTGTTGCCATTGCTTTTGGTGTTTTAGTCATGATGTCTTTGACCATGCCTATGTCATGAATGGTATTGTCTATGTTATCTTCTAGAGTTTTTATGATATTGGGTCTTACATTTAAATCTTAATCCATCTTGAGTTAATTTTTTTATAAGGTGTAAGGAAGGGGTCCAGTTTCCGTTTTCTGCATATGGCTAGCCAGTTTTCCCAAAACCATTTATTAAATATGAAATCCCTTCCCCATTGCTTGTTTTTGTCAGGTTTGTCAAAGATCTGATGGTTGTAGATGTGTGGCATTATTTCTGAGGCCTCTGTTCTGTTCTATTGGTCTATATATCTGTTTTGGTATCAGTACCATGCTGTTTTGGTTACTGTATCCTTGTAGTATAGTTTGAAGTCAGGTAACATGATGCCTCCAGCTTTGTTATTTTTGCTTATGATTGTCTTGGCTATACGGGCTCTTTTTTGGTTTCATATGAAATTTAAAGTAGTTTTTTTCTAATTCTGTGAAGAAAGTCAATAGTAACTTGATGGGGATAGCATTGAATCTCTAAATTACTTCAGGCAGTATGTCCATTTTCACGATATTGATTATTCCCATCCATGAGCATGGAATGTTTTTTCATTTGTTTGTGTCCTCTCTTATTTCCTTGAGCCGTGGTTTGGAGTTCTTCTTGAAGAGGTCCTTCACATTCCTTGTAAGTTGTATTCCTAGGTATTTTATTCTCTTTGTAACAATTGTGAATGGGAGTTTACTCATGATTTGGCTGTTTGTCTATTATTGGTGTATAGGAATGCTTGTGATTTTTGCAAATTGATTTTGTATCCTAAGACTTTGCTGAAGTTGCTTTTCAGCTTAAGGAGATTTAGGTCTGAGACGATGGGGTTTTCTAAATATACAATCATGTCATCTGCAAACAGAGACAATTTGACTTCCTGCCTTCCTATTTGAATACACTTTATTTCTTTCTCTTGCCTGATTGCCCTGACCAGAACTTCCAATACTATGTTGAATAGGAGTGGTGAGAGAGGGCATTCTTGTCTTGTGCTGGTTTTCAAAGAGACTGCTTCCAGCTTTTGCCCATTCGGTATGATATTAGCTTTGGGTTTGTCATAAATAGCTCTTATTATTTTGAGACACGTTCCATCAATACCTAGTTTATTGAGAGTTTTTAGCATGAAGAGGTGTTGAATTTTATTGAAGGCCTTTAAAATAAACAACCTGACATCACAATTAAAAGAACTAGAGAAGAAAGATCAAACAAATTCAAAAGCTAGCAGAAGACAAGAAATAACAGATCAGAGCAGAGATGAAGGAGATAGAGACACAAGAAACCGTTCAAAAAATCAATGAATCCAGGAGCTGGTTTTTTGAAAAGCTTAACAAAATAGACCACTAACTGGACTAATAAAGAAGAAAACAGAGAAGAATCAAATAGACACGACAAAAAATGATAAGGGGGATATCACCACTGATCTTACAGAAATACAAACTACCATCAGAGGATACTATAAATAACTCTATGCAAATCAACTAGAAAATTTAGAAGAAATGGATAAATTCCTGGACACATACATCCTCCCAAGACTAAACCAGGAAGAAATCTAATCCCTGAATAGACCAATAACAAGTTCTGAAATTCAGGCAGTAATTAATAGCCTACCAACCAAAAAAGAAGCCCAGGATCAGACAGATTCACAGCCGAATTCTACCAGAGGTACAAAGAGGAGCTGGTACTATTCCTTCTGAAACTATTCCAAACAATAGAAAAAGTCGGAATCTTCCCTAACTCATTTTGTGAGGCCAGCATCATCCTGATACCAAAACCTGGCAGAGACACAACAAAAAAAGAAAATTTCAGGCCAATATCCCTGATGACATCGATGTGAAAATCCTCAATAAAATACTGGCAAACCGAATCCAGCAGCACATCAAAAAGCTTATCCACCATAATCAAATCGACTTCATCCCTGGGATGAAAGGCTGGTTCAACATACACAAATCAATAAACGTAATCCGTCACTTAAACAGAGCCAATGTCAAGGTGATTTTTTAAATATGGATTATGAAATAGGTAAATTTTTCCTTCACATGTACTTATTATTCTGATAAAGATATGACAACTTCATGCACTCGTTAAAATAATGTAAGTTTAAAATATGATTTTTTTTTCCTATTTCTTCCTATAGTGTTTCCTCATTCTCACTTAATGTATTGTATAAGATACTTCACAAACATAAGACATATTGATTCATTGGATAACATTGTCACTATATAAATTAGGAAAATACATTTTCATTATTCATATTTAGCTGATGACAATTCCAAAACTGAGAAAATCAAAGTTTCTCAAGATTACAGACAGGTAGACTAGGAACACAAACCAATGCTTCCAAATTTGATCTAGTTTTTCCTCCTCCAAGTTATTGAGCATAACTAATCTAGGCCCCTCAGAGTGAAGGTTGAAATTGTAATTCAACATATATTCTGGCCCACTATCTCCATTATATTAGCCTTTTTTTTCTGTTACAATCTTTCTGGAATAGTAGGAAAAATAATAGACATGAAAATGCTAAGACTGTGTATAAATACTTAATCGTCTTCTTGGACAGATAAGCTTAAATACCAGACTTTGCATTTCTTTATTTTAAAAAGTATACTTATCAAAACCACTAAATTAACTTGCTCTCAAATAAATAATGCGAAGCAAGGTTTTTGAAAGCATTTCATATCAGGCTTCAGAAATGAACCCAAATGTGTATGGAGATTTACTTTATCATGAAGGAGTAATTTCATATCATTACGTAAAGGCAGAACGTTTCAATGGAGTGTGTGTGTGCTAACTGATTTAAAATCAGGAAAAAAATAAATAAATTCCTATCTTTAATTTCAAAACAATAAAAATTTAAATGTAGAAATATTAGGCAAAAGACCTAAGATCACTTAAAGGCCTTAAATTATTGATGTATTTGATACATAAAAGTATTCACTTGACACAAATTTGCACATATTCATTCAGAAGTGGGTGTACAAAGACCTTTGTTGCAGTGTTGTTTGCATTAGCAAAAAGCTACACATCTCATAAATGACTACCAGTCCTGAAGTTGTTAAACACATCTTCATAATGTAATATTTTGCATTTATTAAAAATAGCGAGGCAAGTCTGTAGTTAGAGAATTGATATATTTAAGGAGAAAAAAGTTACAAGATGGTATTTATAAGATGACACAGGATGTTATCTCTCTACTAACCTATCAATATGCATATATAAATAAATGTATCTATTAAAACACATGAACACATACACAACTACCCCACATACACTAATATGTGTAAAGAATATCTTCAGAAAAGTGAAAAATGGCAAATAGTGAGATGGAGTAAGGAGTGGAAGAGGGATGTGTTTGCACCATAAATATCTTTATTGGGTATATTTCTTGTCATATTTTTTACATTTTTTGAATTTGTAACAATAATGAGCACAAAACAACAGCATTATGATGACCTTCCTGGGAAGTTTCCTGAGGAGGGCATGTAGAGCATAATTCCATTATGAAAAAAATGTGCTTAGAGTATGAAATGAAATAAACCAACATCTTACCTAATCAGATTATCTTCAATATTCATCTCTTTATTTTTAAAATTTTATGGTTTTATTTTTTTATTGATATAAATGGTTTCTTTATTTGTAGAATTACACTTAAAATTATTTTGAAGCAGCATGAACTCTCTCTGGATGGTATTAGAATTTCATACCCAAATAAACTTGAACATTACTTTTTTAAAATTTTATTATTATTATACTTTAAGTTTTAGAGTACATGTGCACAACGTGCAGGTTTGTTACATATGTCTACATGTGCCATGTTGGTGTGCTGCACCCATTAACTAATCATTTAGCAATAGGTATATCTCCTAATGCTATCCCTGCCCCCTCACCACACCCCACAACAGTCCCCCGTGTGTGATGTTCCCCTTCCTGTGACCACGTGTTCTCATTGTTCAATTCCCACCTATGAGTGAGAACATGCGGTGTTTGGTTTTTTGTCCTTGTGATAGTTTGCTGAGAATGATGGTTTCCAGCTTCATCCATGACTCTACAAAGGACATGAACTCATCATTTTTTATGGCTGCATAGTATTCCATGGTGTATATGTGCCACATTTTCTTAATCCACTCTATCATTGTTGGACATTTGGGTTGGTTCCAAGTCTTTGCTATTGTGAATAGTGCCGCAATAAACATATGTGTGTGTGTGTCTTTCTAGCAGCATGATTTATAATCCTTTGGGTATATACCCAGCAATGGGATGGCTGGGTCAAATGGTATTTCTAGTTCTAGATCCCTGAGGAATCGCCACACTGACTTCCACAATGGTTAAATTAGTTTACAGTCCCACCAACAGTGTAAAAGTGTTCCTATTTCTCCACATCCTGTCCAGCACCTGTTGTTTCCTGACTTTTTAATGATCACCATTCTAACTGGTGTGAGATGGTATCTCATTGTGGTTTTGATTTGCATTTCTCTGATGGCCAGTGATGATGAGCATTTTTTCATGTGTTTTTTGGCTGCATAAATGTCTTCTTTTGAGAAATGTCTGTTCATATCCTTCACCCACTTTTTGATGGGGTTGTTTGTTTTTTTCTTGTAAATTTGTTGGAGTTCACTGTAGATTCTGGATATTAGCCCTTTGTCAGATGGGTAGGTTGCAAAAATTTTCTCCCATTCTGTAGGTTGCCTATTCACTCTGATGGTAGTTTCTTTTGTTGTGCAGAAGTTCTTTAGTTTAATTAGATCCCATTTGTCAATTTTGGCTTTTGTTGCCATTGCTTTTGGTGTTTTAGACATGAAGTCCTTGCCCATGCCTATGTCCTGAATGGTATTGCCTAGGTTTTATTCTAGGGTTTTTCTGGTTTTAGGTCCAACATTGAAGTCTTTAATCCATCTTGAATTAATTTTTGTATAAGGTGTAAGGAGGGGATCCAGTTTCAGCTTTCTACATATGGCTAGCCAGTTTTCCCAGCACCATTTATTAAATAGAGAATCCTTTCCCCATTGCTTGTTTTTGTCAGGTTTGTCAAAGATCAGATACTGGTAGATATGTGGCATTATTTCTGAGGGCTCTGTTCTGTTCCACTGTTCTATATCTCTGTTTTGGTACCAGTACCATGCTGTTTTGGTTACTGTAGCCTTGTAGTATAGTTTGCAGTCAGGTAGCATGATGCCTCCAGCTTTGTTCATTTGGCTTAGGATTGACTTGGAAATGCAGGCTCTTTTTTGGTTCCATATGAACTTTAAAGTAGTTTTTTCCAACTCTGTGAAGAAAGTCATTGGTAGCTTGATGGGCAAGGCATTGAATCTATAAATTACCTTGGGCAGTATGGCCATTTTCACGATATTGGTTCTTCCTACACATGAGCAGGGAATGTTCTTCCATTTGTTTGTATCCTCTATTATTTCATTGAGCAGTGGTTTGTAGTTCTCCTTGAAGAGGTCCTTCACATCCCTTGTAAGTTGGATTCCTAGGTATTTGATTCTCTTTGAAGCAATTGTGAATGGGAGTTCACTCATGATTTGGCTCTCTGTTTGTCTGTTATTGGTGTATAGGAATGCTTGTGATTTTTGCACACTGATTTTGTATCCTGAGACTTTGCTGAAGTTCCTTATCAGCTTAAGGAGATTTTGGGCTGAGACGATGGGGTTTTCTAGATATACAATCATGTCATCTGCAAACAGGGACAATTTGACTTCCTCTTTTCCTAATTGAATGCCCTTTATTTCCTTCTCCTGCCTGATTGCCCTGGCCAGAACTTCCAACTCTATGTTGAATAGGAATGGTGAGAGAGGGCATCCCTGTCTTTTGCCAGTTTTCAAAGGGAATGCTTCCAGTTTTGTCCATTCAGTATAATATTGGCTGTGGGTTTGTCATAGATAGCTCTTATTATTTTAAGATACGTCCCATCAATACCTAATTTATTGAGAGTTTTTAGCATGAAGTGTTGTTGAATTTTGTCAAAGGCCTTTTCTGCATCTATTGAGATAATCATGTGGTTTTTGTCTTTGGTTCTGTTTATATGCTGGATTACGTTTATTGATTTTCATATGTTGAACCAGTCTTGCATCCCAGGGATGAAGGCCACTTGATCATGGTGGATAAGCTTTTTGATGTGCTGCTGGATTCAGTTTGCCAGTATTTTATTGAGGATTTTTGCATCAATGTTCATCAAGGATATTGGTCTAAAATTCTCTTTTTTGGTTGTGTCTCTGCCAGGCTTTGGTATCAGGATGATGCTGGCCTCATAAAATGAGTTAGGGAGGATTCCCTCTTTTTCTATTGATTGGAATAGTTTCAGAAGGAATGGTAGCAGCTCCTCTTTGTACTTCTGGTAGAATTCGGCTGTGAATCCATCTGGTCCTGGACTTTTTTTGGTTGGTAAGCTGCTAATTATTGCCTCAATTTCAGAGCCTGTTATTGGTCTATTCAGAGATTCAACTTCTTCCTGGTTTAGTCTTGGGAGGGTGTATGTGTCGAGGAATTTATCCATTTCTTCTAGATTTTCTAGTTTATTTGTGTAGAGGTGTTTATAGTATTCTCTGATGGTAGTTTGTATTTCTGTGGGATTGGTGGTGATATCCCCTTTATCATTTTTTATTGCGTCTATTTGATTCTTCTCTCTTTTCTTCTTTATTAGTCTTGCTAGTGGTCTATGAATTTTGTTGATCTTTTCAAAAAACCAGCTTCTGGATTCATTGATTTTTTGAAGGGTTTTTTGTGTCTCTATTTCCTTCAGTTCTGCTCTGATCTTAGTTATTTCTTACCTTCTGCTAGCTTTTGAATGTGTTTGCTCTTGATTCTCTAGATGTTTTAATTGTGATGTTCTGGTGTCAGTTTTAGATCTTTCCTGCTTTCTCTTGTGGGCATTTAGTGCTATAAACTTCCCTCTACACACTGCTTTAAATGTGTCCCAGAGATTCTGGTATGTTGTGTCTTTGTTCTTGTTGGTTTCAAAGAATATCTTTATTTCTGCCTTCATTTCATTATGTACCCAGTAGTCATTCAGGAGCAGGTTGTTCAGTTTCCATGTAGTTGAGTGGTTTTGAGTGAGTTTCTTAATCCTGAGTTGTAGTTTGATGGCACTGTGGTCTGAGAGACAGTTTGTTATAATTTCTGTTCTTTCACATTTGCTGAGGAGAGCTTTATTTCCAGCTATGTGGTCAATTTTGGAATAGGTGTGGTGTGGTGCTAAAAAGAATGTATATTCTGTTGATTTGGGGTGGGGAGTTCTGTAGATGTCTATTAGGTCCGCTTGGTGCAGAGCTGAGTTCAATTCCCAGGTATCCTTGTTAACTTTCTGTCTCGTTGATCTGTCTAATGTTGACAGTGGGGTGTTAAAGTCTCCCATTATCATTGTGTGGGAGTCTAAGTCTCTTTGTAGGTCTCTAAGGACTTGCTTTATGAATCTGGGTGCTCCTGTATTGGGTGCATATATATTTAGGATAGTTAGCTCTTCTCGTTGAATTGATCCCTTTACCATTATGTAATGGCCTTCTTTGTCTCTTTTGATCTTTGTTGGTTTAAAGTCTGGTTTTTCAGAGACTAGGATTGCAACCCCTGCCTTTTTTTGTCTTTCATTTGCTTGGTAGATCTTCCTCCATCGCTTTATTTTGAGCCTATGTGTGTCTCTGCATGTGAGATGGGTTTCCTGAATACAGCATACTGACGGGTCTTGACTCTTTATCCAATTTGCCAGTCTGTGTCTTTTAATTGGCGCATTTAGCCCATTTACATTTAAGGTTAATATTGTTATGTGTGAATTTGATCCTGTCATTATGATGTTAGCTGGTTATTTTGCTTGTTAGTTGATGCAGTTTCTTCCTAGCCTTGAAGGTCTTTACAATTTGGCATGTTTTTTCAGTGGCTGGTACAGGTTGTTCCTTTCCATGTTTAGTGCTTCCTACAGGAGCTCTTTTAGGGCAGGCCTGGTGGTGACAAAATCTCTCAGCATTTGCTTGTCTGTAAAGGATTTTATTTCTCTTTCACTTATGAAGCTTAGCTTGGCTGGATATGAAATTCTGGGTTGAAAATTCTTTACTTTAAGAATGTTGAATATTGGCCCCCACTCTCTTCTGGCTTGTAGAGTTTCTGCCGAGAGATCCACTGTTAGTCTGATGGGCTTCCCTTTGTGGGTAACCTGACCTTTCTCTCTGGCTGCCCTTAACATTTTTTCCTTCATTTCAACTTTGGTGAATCTGACAATCATGTGTCTTGGAGTTGCTCTCCTCGAGGAGTATCTTTGTGGCATTCTCTGTATTTCCTGAATTTGAATGTTGGCCTGCCTTGCTAGATTGGGGAAGTTCTCCTGGATAATACCCTGCAGAGTGTTTTCCAACTTGGTTCCATTATCCCCGTCATTTTCAGGTGCACCAATCAGACATAGATTTGGTCTTTTCACATAGTCCCATATTTCTTGGATGCTTTGTTCGTTTCTTCTTATTCTTTTTTCTCTAAACTTCTCTTCTCGCTTCATTTCATTCATTTCGTCTTCCATAACTGATACCCTTTCTTCCAGTTGATTGCATCGGCTACTGAGGCTTGTGCATTCATCACGTAGTTCTCGTGCCATGGTTTTCAGCTCCATCAGGTCCTTTAAGGACTTCTCTGCATTGGTTATTCTGTTTATCCATTCATCTGATTTTTTTTTCAAGGTTTTTAACTTCTTTGCCATTGGTTCAAACTTCCTCCTTTTGCTAGGAGTAGTTTGATCCTCTGAAGACTTCTTCTCTAAACTTGTCAAAGTCATTCTCCCTCCAGCTTTGTTCCGTTGCTGGTGAGGAGCCGCATTCCTTTGGAGGACGAGAGGCGCTCTGATTTTTAGAGTTTCCAATTTTTCTGCTCTGTTTTTTCCCCATCTTTGTGGTTTTATCTACCTTTGGTCTTTGATGATGGTGACGTACAGATGGGTTTTTGGTGTGGATGTCCTTGCTGTTTGTTAGTTTTCCTTCTAACAGTCAGGACCCTCAGCTGCAGGTCTGTTGGAGTTTGCTGGAGGTCCACTCCAGACCCTGTTTTCCTGGGTATCAGCAGCAGTGGTTGCAGAACAGCAGATATTGGTGAACCGCAAATGCTGCTGCCTGATTGTTCCTCTGGAAGTTTTGTCTCAGAGGAGTACCTGGCCGTGTGAGGTGTCAGTCCGCCCCTACTGGGGGATGCCTCCCAGTTAGGCTACTTGGGGGTCAGGGACCCACTTGAGGAGGCAGTCTGCCCGTTCTCAGTTCTCAAGCTGCGTGCTGGGAGAACCACTACTCTCTTCAAAGCTGTCAGACAGGGACATTTAAGTCTGCAGAGGTTACTGCTGCCTTTTGTTTGTCTGTGCCCTGCTCCCAGAGGTGGAGCCTACAGAGGCAGGCAGGCCTCCTTGAGCTGTGGTGGGCTCCACCCAGTTCGAGCTTCCTGGCCGCTTTGTTTACCTACTCAAGCCTTGGCAATGGTGGGTGCCCTCCCCCAGCCTTGTTGCTGCCTTGTAGTTTGATCTCAGACTGCTGTGCTAGCAATGAGCAAGGCTCCTTGGGCGTAGGACCCTCCGAGCCAGGTGCTGGATATAATCTCCTGATGTGCTGTTTGTTGAGCCCATTGGAAAAGCACAGTATTAGGTTGGGAGTGACCCAATTTTCCAGGTGCTGTCTGTCACCCCTTTCTTTGACTAGGAAAGGGAATTCCCTGACCCCTTGTGATTCCCAGGTGAGGCGATGCCTCGCCCTGCTTCGGCTCACACATGGTGCACTGCACCCACTGTCTTGCACCCACTATCCGGCACTCCCCAGTGAGATGAACCCAGTACCTCAGTTGGAAATGCAGAAATCACCTGTCTTCTGTGTTGCTCACGCTGGGAGCTGTAGACTGGAGCTGTTCCTATTCGGCCATTTTGGCTCCACCCTGGTTAGTTGAGTTTTTAAATCAACCCAATGAAGAAATGGTCTTAGCTTCTCCCAGCTGTTTGAGCCAGCACATAAAATTAGAATATCTTTTAAGGGCTCTCATGTTGATAAATTTGGCTTAATCCACATTTGGTTCAGTCAAATGTTTTCTCTCTTCATGACAATCCATTCCAATATAATCCCCAAGATTTTTGTAGCTTAAAATGGCAAATTTTATCATTATTTTCTGTCTCCTGACACACTGTTAGTGTTAGTCTGATGGGCACACAACAAGTGTCATCTCTCAGCATGCTCCAGGGAGACAGAAACATCCTACCTAGTTGTGTTGTGATTAATCATGATAACTGATACCCTCTTTAAAGGTATTGCCTCAGATATCATTTCAAAAACTTCAGCCAAATCATGGTCATTTCACCAAACAAAAGAAATAGGGTGACCTGACATGAAAACAAAGATTTTTTTTTTATTTTGGGATTGATAGCACTGTAATTTACTTGAAACTATCTAGATATTCTCAACACTACAGGAGCAAACTTGGATGGGTATTTTGCCACAAGTGCAGCAGAAAAGCTAAGATAATTCACTCCAATGCACTACAAGCTTTCATAATGTGTGCTGAAGTGTCCTTCCAAAGTTTGGGAGTGCCCTCAAAGGGCAGAAAGCTAGGGACAGGACTGGGAAGCAAATAGAAGTCCCCACTGACCCAAAAGGCTGGCAGCCAGACTATAAAGCAAAGAGAAATCTCCCGTAGTCCAAAAGGCTGGTAGCCTCACTATAAAACATCAAGACTTATCTGGACTCTCACCAGAATTCAGGCCCACCCTTCCTTCAAAATAGTTGAAGACAGTGGTTAACTGAATTTAACCAAGTTTACAACAGGTTTAAGCTTAGCTACACATCAGACAGTCTGAGTTCCCCATACTCATACCCTGATAAATAAGGAATGTGTCCTATCCTGAGGATAAATACTACTTACTATTTATTTCTGTCCCTACAAGTATTTTTTACAAATTGTTATGGACTGTTTGTGTCACTCCAAATTTATATGTTGAAGCACTTACCACAATGTGATGATATTTGGAGGTAGAGTCTTTGGGAAGTTAAATTAGGTTTAGATGCAGTCATGAGAGTGGGGCCCCCATGTCAGGGTTAGTGTTTTTATAAGAAAAGGAAGAAAGATCAGAGTTTTATCTACACAATGTGAGAATACAGTGAAAGGTCTGTCAGCAAGAGAGACTTCACCAAAAACTAAATTTTCTGGCACCTTAAATTTGGACATTCCAGCTTCCAGAATTATGAGAAATAAATGTCTGTTGTTTAAGCCACCCAAGCTATGGTATTTTGTTATAACATCCTGAGCTAAGACATATTTTTGTACCAGGAGTGGGATGTAGCTGAAAATGTAGAAGTGGCTTTAAAACTGGAAAAGGGGTAGAAGTTAAGGAATTTGGGGATGCATGCTATAAATATGCACAATAATAGCTATTCTGTTTAGGGCTTATACAGAATATAAGACTGCTGGAGAAAAACTTCCATTTTCTTATAGAATACATAAATAATTATAAACAGAATGTTGGCAGAAATATGTATGGTAAAGGTCATTCTGGGGAAGGCTTAGACAGAAATGAAGAATAAGCTATTGGACAATTGAGAAAAAGTGATTCTTTTTATAAAGTGGTAAAGAACTTGGCTGAATTATGTTCATGTTTTATTGTTTTGTGGAATGTAAAACTAGTAAGTGATGAAATTAACAGTGAACATAGCTGACATTTCTAATCAAAGTGTTGAAGGAGTCACTTTGTTCATCCTGACTGCTTCTACTAAGATGCAAGAAAAAAAAAAGAGATAAATGAATCAAAAAAGGAATTGTTAAAAAAAAAAAGGAGCTGGAACTTAAAAAATTGGAAAGTTCTCAGCCTATCCACACTGCAAAAGATGAGAAAGCATGCTGAGAAAAAAAAAAAACCACCAAAGGTGTGGCTGGACCCTCACTCGATAAAGAGATTACGGGATTATATAAGCAGAAACACTGTCAGTCTGAACTGAAGGAGATGGGAATGGGATAAAATGAAGAAAGTCTGTCAGACTTCTTAGATTCTTTGGGACTGGACCATAGAGCTATTCAGATGTGAATGTGTGATATTACTCTTCAAGACAAGGGAAGAAAGACCCTAAAGGTGTTTTAGAGATTATCTGGGCTGCCACCTCAGATTTAAAGGTTGGGGCTATCATCTCAGTTTCAATGGGCAGTTGGTGTCAGAGTGGCTGCCAGAGCCTTTTGGGTACAATGAAGAGTCATGAGGACATGACCCCTTCCCTGCAGAGCTACAGAGGTCCGACTATCTACTATCCCAGTTTGTCCAGAAAGTGGGACTGTCATCCCAGTAGACCCAGAAGGCAAATTATGAAACCAAAGATTATCCTTGAGCTTTAAGATCTAATGGTATTTGCATTACAAGATTTTAGATTTGCTTGGAACCTGCCACCCCTTTCTTTCTTCCAGGTGTTGGAATGAGAATGCCTATTCTATGTCTAATCTATCATTGTATTTTGGAAGTGTGTAATTTATCTGGTTTCACAGACTTATAACTGGGGATGAATTTTTCCTCAGGATTAATCGTATCTTGAGCCTCACCTATATCTGATTTAGATGATATTTAGATGAGACAGGACTTCCAATTTTAGAGTTGATCTTGGAATAAGTTAAGACTTTGGGGGCTACTGAAATAAGATCATTTTTTTTGTGTGTGTAAGAATAACATTAATTTGGGAGACAAAAGGCAGAATGCTATGGATTGAATGTCTGTGTACCCCCAAAATTCATATGTTGAAGCCCTAACCCTCCATGTGATGGTATTTGGAGATGGGGCCTTTGGAAAGTAATTAGGTTTAAATCAGGTCATGAGGGTGGGCCTCCATAAGGGGATTAGTGACCTCATAAAAGGAAGAGGGACCATAAAAGGAAGAGCACACTCTTTCCCTACCACTTGAGGGAACAGCAAGTGAAAAGGCAGCCGTCTGCAAGTCAAGAAGTAGGGCCTCATCAGGAACTGCACCTCCTACTCCTTTATCTTAAACCTCCCAGCCTCCAGAACTTTGAGAAATAAGTGTCTGTTGTTTATTCCACCCAGCCTGTGGTATTTTGTTAGAGCAGCCCAAGCTGACCAAGACACACAATGCCTGGCATAAAATAAAAATTAAACACTATGAGGCACACTAACAAGCAAGAAAAATAGAAACAGTGCACGCCTGTAATTCCAGCTACTAGCGAGGCTGGGGCAGGAGAATCACTTGAACCTGGGAGGCAGAGGTTGCAGTGAGCAGAGATCACCCAGGCACTCCAGCCTGGGTAACAGAGTAAGACTCCGTCTCAAAAAAAAAAAAAAAAAAAAAAAAAAGAAAGAAAAAGAAAAAAGAAAAAGAAAGAAACAGGAGTCATTTGAAGCTAAAAAGAGGAAATATTCAAGTGAAGTATATCCAGACATGGTTCAGACATTAGAATCATCAGATAAGAATTTTTTAAATATGTTTTAACATTTCGCTGGTAAAGGCAGACAAGATTTATGAACAAAGGGGAGATCTCAACAAAGAGATTAGCATTGTACAGAAGAACCAAATGGAAATGTTGGATATAAAAAAAAACATACCAGAAATAATATAAGAAATAAATAATTAATTTGGTGGGCTTAACAATAGGCTGGACTCAGTAGAGGAAAGAATTCATGAACTGAAATACAAGTCAATTGAAATTATCCAAACTTCAACCCAAAGAGAAAAAAGAAAAAGCATCCAAGTTATGTAGGATAATATTATCTCCTCTGACACATGAGTACTTGGAGCTCCAGAATATAAGAAAAAGAAATAAACAGAAAAAAATCTTAAGAGATAATGGTTGAGAATTTTCCAAAATTAATGACACCACCATAAATCCGAGAAGTTCACCAAACCCAATGCAAAATAAATAAGAAAATCACACCGTTGCCCTTTACCAAAATGATGACATGGATTTCCCTTAAGAAAAAACAGAATGATCAATGATAGCCACTTCAGTGGTTTTATACTCCTTGGATTCACAGGGCAGCCTCAGCTTCAGATGATGATCTCTGGGGTTGTCTTTTTCTTCTACACTATTGCCTTCATGGGAAATATGGCCATCATCCTATTGTCTTTCCTAGATGACCATCTCCAAGTCCCCATGTACTTCTTCCTTAGAAATTTGGCCATCTTGGATCTCTGTTATACCACAAATATAGTCCCACAAATGTTGGTCAGTATCTGGGGCAAAGACAAAAGAATTACCTTTGGTGGGTGTGCCTTTCAACTTTTCATTGATGTGGCACTGTACTCAGTTGAATGCATCCTTCTGTCCATGATGTCATATGATCGACTCAATGCTATCTGCAAGCCTCTGCATCATATGACCATAATGAACCTCCAACTCTGCCAGGGCCTTGTGGTCATCTCCTGGGTAGTTGGTGTGATTAATTGCATCATACCTTCCCCTTATGCCACGAGTCTTCCTCGATGTAGGAACCACCACCTAGACCACTTTTTTGTGTGTGTGAAATGTCTGCAATGATCAAGATTCAAGATTGCATGTGTGGACACCACAGCCATGGAGGTAACCACATTTGCCATGTGCCTGATTATAGTTCTTGTTCCTCTTCTTCTTATTCTTGTGTCATATGGTTTCATTGCTGTGGCTGTACTCAAGATCAAGTCTGCAGCAGGAAGACAAAAAGCATTTGGGACCTGTTCCTCCCATCTCGTTGTGGTATCCATCTTCTGTGGGACAGTTACATACATGTATATACAGCCAGGAAACAGTCCAAATCAGAATGAGGGCAAACTTCTCAGTATATTTTACTCCATTGTTACTCCCAGCTTGAACCCATTAATTTATACGGTAAGGAATAAGGAGTTCAAGGGGGCCATGAAGAGGCTAACTGGAAAAGAAAAAGATTGCATGGAAAAAAGAGGACATTGATTCTTCCTCCCAGCAATTTCTAATATGGCAATTGATCTTCCCAATCTAAAATGTAGACAATTTATTTTGTAAATAAATTGTCTACACCTGAGATAAAGATAATATCCATTAAAAATATAATAAAATTATAATAAAAATTATAATTAAGCCGAATGTATTTATTGAATACTTAATCCATGATGATTGGTATATGTACAAAACTCATATTTAAAATGAAATTATAAACTAAAGTGCCAACACTAAAAATAACATGCTATGCACTGATTTCTTTTGGATTATATATGTTACAATTATATTGATATTGACCAATTTAACTCTAATAGTCTCCTTTGATTATGTTAACTAAATATTGTCATTAATTTAAGGAGATTAAAAGCTGTTTTCATTGCCCTCTATTTTAAGGTACAACACTTTTGCTCCAACCAGTCCCAGGAATATTTTTACACAGGCAAATCTCCAGCCTGAAGATGACAGCAGCAAAGCTAGTCGTTAACCAAGAAGACCAAGAGTTCTAGTTATCAATCATCTTTGAAAAGATCTCATGTTAATTAACCACAGTAATTTCCCCCTATCTTTCTCTGCTTAGATAATTACTCAAGGAGCTCAATTTTTGTGATCACAAAAGAAAAATATTTTTATCAGTTCCAATAATCATCTTTAAGATAATGCTTTTTTCTTTCCCACTTGGCCTTCCAAGTTTTTACTACTTATTTTGGGGATGAGCATGGAGGTATTGCCATGTCACCTGGTTTTAGATGTTCTACATTTTTTCTCTGAGTGCTTCAAGAAAACTGACACATAGAAAGGTGATTTATTTGGCTATTGAAATGGTCTTTCTGTCTTTTTCTGAAGTGTGTTTTTAAATGCATTTCTTTCTCATTTTTGTTGAGTTATTATCCTTTCCATATTTTGACTGAAGATAAATTTGATTTTTGTCTTGAAGATAAATGTTGATTCATGGGATAGTTCAGAGCTATGTTACCAACTTGTAACTTGAAAAAGAATTTTTGAAAACTTCCTTTATGTTTCTGATCCAATATCCAATATCACTTTTTCTTGCTCCATCTCTTGCTCATGTCCTAGTTATTTATACAGTCACATAATTCCATTCATGCCAAAAAGACTTTTTATTAAAAAAGCTAGAGTGATTAATTTTATTCCTTATACCCTCTTTCTCCCTTGAGAAAGTAGAAAACTTAAATAAAATGAAAAATCTAGAATATTTGATTTTGATATTTTTGTAGTTCTTGAGGATGAAAAATGAACTTAATAGGATTTTGAAGTCTAAATACTCCATTAGATAAGTTAAAGTAAAATTGTTTCAATAGCTGTTTTGAAGCATCATAAATTGAGATACTTGTAGGAACTACTTAAGCTCTGGAGTGACTTTTCTTTTTATTCCAGCTTCTCCGTTAATGACAGTACTTTCAGAAGTTGTCCTAAATCTCAGAGACACACCTAGCATTTTGCAGTATATATTTAGTACTTTTATGACTATTAAGAACGCCACATTTTCCAGGAATTCCAACATCTTTCAAAAAATAGAAGAGAGAGAAAACAGAGAAAAGGAAGTTACCAAAAGCAGACAGGAGAAATTTTCAGATCAAAAGAACATAAATGTACACCTTAAAGAATTATTGTACAATACACTGTGATGGAACACCCAAAAGCCCACCCAAGTCAAGTTTTAGAAAAATGTACTCAGAGGTGGCCAAAGTGCCGCTTCATGGTTATAATCCCTATCCTTCTCTCTCAACATTAATTATTATTCTTACATATATAGATTTCACACTTTTCCTTTCCTTTACAGATGTCTTACCTAACTATGCATCTCCAAATAATATGGTTTAATTTTTTTAATTTTTATATACATGGATTCTGTTGTACTTGAATTCTTTCAAATAACATTATATTTTTAAGATTCATCTATGCATTAAGCATTTCTGTACTTCACTTATTTCCACAGCTGTAAATACTTCATAATATACATATACAACTTATTTATTTATTCTGTCTTCATAAAAATTATAGTTTTTCACGTTTTCAAACCTCAGAAACAATTCTGCTTAGAATATTTTATGCATGTATTTTGGCTCATCTTGCATATGTATATATATCCTCATTGTATATTTGTACTCAGGTTTTTTGAAACACTGCCAAAATTTTCCAGAGTGGTTGCACCATATTAAACACTTATCAGTGTATGTGTTTCCATTGCTCTACATCTTCATCAATATTTGGTTTTCTTAGGTTTCTTTTTAATTTTAGTCAATCTGATGTGAGTGCATGATGGGTATAATTTTTGCTTTTATGATTATTGAAGCAAACGAGCACCATCCATTTCACAAATGCATTGGCCACTTATGTTTACCCTTTGAGATTTATCTATTCAGGTTTTTGCAATTTTTTACTATTTTTCTTATTGATATGAAGTATTTATATGTTCTGGATATGCCTTTTAACAAGCACAAGCACTAAAAATATCTCTTCCTTTTCTGTGATTTGTCTTTTGACTCCTAATGGTGTCACCTGATGAACAGAATTTTGTAGTTTCAATGATTGAAGTGTATTCATCATTTTTTACCTGTCAGTGATTTTTAAGACCAGTTACAGAAATAATTCCTCTTCCTAATAATACCTAATAATACCATAAAGTTATTATTTCATATTGATTTCTAAAACAGGAGTTGGGAAACTGTAGCCAGTGGGCCACTTGTGTCTGTTTTATAAAGTTTTATAGGAACACAGCCACACCCAGTTACTTACTTTTGTCTATGGCTGCTTTAGCACTACAACTACAGAGTTGAGTAGTTGTGACCGAGACCTGATGACACACAATGCCTAAAATATTTACTATCTGGCCTTTCCAAAAAAGTTTCCGTACCCTATTCTAGAAGATACTTTTTCCCTTTCACATCTAAATCTACAATCTATCTGGAATAGATGTTTATACACAGTATAAGTTGGGACAAATTTATTTTTTTAATTAATATCCCATTGGTCCAGCACCATATATTGAAAATTATAATTTTTCTCTATTCTTCTGTAGTGTTGTCTTTGTCATAAATAAATTTCCACAGATCTGTGGGTTTGTTTCAAGTCTTTTTTTTTCTATTTCAGTGTTTGATGTGGTTTGGCTGTGTCCCCACCCAAATCTCATCTTCAGTTGTAGCTCCCATAATTCCTGCATGGGAGCATGGGAGGGACCCAGTGAGAGGTAACTGAATCATGGGAATGGGTCTTTCCCATGCTGTTGTCGTGATAGTAAATAAGTCTCACAAGATCTGATGGTTTTATAAAGGGAATTTTCCCTGCACACTCTTCTTGCCTGATGCCATGTAAGATGTGACTTTGCTCCTCCTTCACCTTCTGCCATGATTGTGAGGCCTCCCCAGCCATGTGGAACTGTGAGTTTGCACCTCACTCATTGCTTCTCAAACCCTCACATTGTGTGCCAAAAAATATTGCAGGACTTTTCCTTAGTTCAGCTAAAAAGGGGGTTCTTTGTCCCATGGCCATGAAAATTCAGACTCACAACTTAAATGGTGAGTAAGACAGGATTTTATTGGGTGTAAAGGGGGAAACACGGGCTCTTGGAAGGCCAGAGTCCCTGCTACAGTGCTTCCCGACCAGGTGTTTGAATCCCAGGTTCCACACAGGAAAAGGAGGAGCCAGGCTCCTTCCTGTGGCAAACATCATGAACTTCTGGAGGCTCCACCTCAGTGGGCAGGCTGGTTGGAGTTTCTCCAGGGAACACCTCCCACCTGGCTGTCTCAAGGGAGTTGGAAAGGAAAGGCAAATAATATTTGGAAATACAAGTTTTGAGATGAAAGAAAAAAGTTTGAATTTTAAAAATTTAAGGTCAGAAGATTTACATAGCAGAGTGAAGGTGGACAGCAGGATTAAAACTGTTCAGCTTAAATATTAGAAAAAAGGCATAAAAGGTATAAAACCTGCATTCTCTATGAACCCTTGGCTAAAGGAGGTGATAACTTGTAACAGATTTCTAACCCCTTCGTAATATCCTTTTTAATAAGGGGAGATCCATCCAGTTTTATTTAGCCATTTTGCTCATGATTCACCTTTGAGATTTTTGTAGATTTTTTTTTTTTTGCCTTGGTATAGAAATATACAATGTAATTGAGAATATAGACCTTGTAAGGCAAATTGCCCTGGGTATAAATTTTACACTTAGTTGGATAAACAGATAAAACATTAGAACAATGGTGAAATATAAAATACTTATATTTTCTTTCAATCCCATTATGTACTTTTCCTAGCTATATATACTGCTAATATTATATCTAAATATATTCATTATGGCTTCCAAAATGTTGACTATTTTTTAAATTTTCACAGCTGATATTCAGAAAATAGCAAAAATGATCAATGATAGTTACTTTGGTTGGCTTATGCTCCTTGGGTTCCCTGGGAAGCCTCAGCTGGAGATGATCATCTCTGGGGTTGTCTTTTTCTTCTATGCAATTTCTTTGATGGGAAATATGGTCCTTATCCTGCTGCCATTACTGGATAAACATCTCCAAACCCCCATATATTTCTTTCTTAGAAATCTGGCTATCTTGGATCTTTGTTACACCACAAATATAGTCCCACAGATGTTGGTCAATGCCTGGGGTAAAGACAAGAAAATCACTTTTGGTGGCTGTGCTTTTCAACTTTTCACTAATGTGACGCTATGCACGGTTGAATGTATGCTTCTGGCTGTGATGTCATATGACCCATTCAATGCTGTCTGCAAGCCTCTGGACTATATGACCATAATGAACCCCCAACTCTGTCAAGGCCTGGTGGCCATGACCTGGTTAATTGGTGTCACTAATTGCATGATACTTTCCCCCTGTCCTGTGAGTCTTCCTCGATGCGGAGACCACCACCTGGATCACTATTTTTGTGAAATATCTGCAATGGTCAAAATTGCATGTGGGGCTACCACAGTCATGGAGGAAACTGTAAGAGTTAAAGAAAGAAGAAAGAAACACGAAACGTGGCTGGCAGTTAAAGACAGGTTTTCCTTAATTAAAACCTGACAGCACTCCTGGCTGATTTCATATATTGGTTTTAGGGTGAGGGGGCTAAGAACATATATTGGTTTTAGGGTGAGGGGGCTTATTACAAGCTTGGAATGTTTATGTGTGTGGAGAAGTTTATGGCGGGGTTGGAATCTCTCTGGGAAGAGGGGAGGTTATCTTGGGGCAGACATCTTTCTGGCCTGGAGGGGGGTTATCTCTGGGCTAGCATCTTCCCAGCTTGAGAGGGCTTATCTAGAGGCTAGCATGACTCTGGTCGGGGAGGAGTTTGGAAGGTTTCTGGTTGGGATGTTATTTGTGGTTTATGGTCGTGCTGACCTTAGCCATTAGGCTGAGGCCCTTTGGATTAGGTGGTTTTTTATTAAAATGAACTATAGAATAAGGGGCTTGTCCAAGATGGTGATGCTCCTGCTCTGTCAGAAACCTTATTTGCATTGTGTTGTTGTTGTTGTTTTCATTTTCCTTGCATCACTTCTTCTCATTCTTGTGTCATATGGCTTCATTGCTGTGGCTGTACTCAAGATCAAGTCTGCAGCAGGAAGACAAAAAGCATTTGGGACCTGTTTCTCCCATCTCATTGTGGTATCCATCTTCTATGGGACTGTTAGATATATGTATATAGAGCCAGGAAACAGTCCATCTCAGGATGAGGGCAAACTTCTCCATATATTTTACTCCATTGTTACTCCCACCTTGAACCCATCCCACTAAGGAATAAGGAGTTCAAGTGGGCCATGAAAAGGCTTATTGGAAAAGAAAAAGGTTCTGGAGACACAATAGGTCACTAACATCTTTTTACAAGAAATTCCTGGCCGGGCACGGTGGCTAACGCCTGTAATCCCAGCACTGTGGGAGGCCGAGGCAGGGGGATCACAAGGTCAGGAGATCGAGACCCTCCTGGCTAACATGGTGAAACCCCATCTCTACTAAAAATACAAAAAATTCGCACCTGAAGTCCCAGCTACTCTGGAGGCTGAGGCAGGAGAATGGCGTGAACCCGGGAGGCGGAGCTTGCAGTGAGCCGCGATCGCTACACTGCACTCCAGCCTAGGCGACAGAGCGAGACTCCGAATCAAAAACAAACAAAAAATAAAAATAAAAAAAGAAATTCCCAATAAAGAAATTATCTTTGTCTAACCTTTAAATTATAGTCAACTTATTTTAGTAGTAGTCATCATCTGAAAAAGAAAATACCTAAAAATTTTGCTTGTATTTTAGTATCAATGTCCCTCATTGTCAAGGGTTCATTCTTTAAAAAATTAAAAATGTCTTTCAAAAACACTACTTATTATCTTGGATGATTCATCTACAGTTGTGGCAACAAAACAGGTTCCGTAAAGTCTAAGGGTTATGTCAACTGGGGTACGGGGGAGCATTTTATAAAGATTAAATTCAGATTATAATTTATATTATTTAATAATTTTAAATATAATTAAACTATTATACTATAACAAAAATTCATTAATTCATGTGTTAACTATGAGTTTTGGCTATAATTCACCATTCATCTGTTCCTATTAAGATTAAAACATTTTTGTTTAGATTCCAAATACTCCTGCCATCTCTACCTATTTTAAGACATATTAGGTTACTGGTCTAAAATATACTTCTATTTGTAGCTATTTGCTGCAGGAATCTGGACTTTCTCAAAATTTTGCTACTAAAATAAAATGTAGGACTAGATTGGATATGGATGTTGATATGGTTACAATGTTAATAAATCATTCTTAGTTTTAAATTTTTGTGTTCATTCAACAACTTCACTAATCTTTTTTATATAAGTTGGTAGTAAGTAAACATTTTGTATTCATTAATTCTTTTTATAAGGCCAGCATAAGCTAGACTTAAAAACATTACAAGGATTTACAAAAAAATAAAAAATGTTTATCAGTATCTTTCATAAACACAGTTGCAAACATCCCTAAATATTAACAAATCAAATATATAAAGGAGGTCCATTAAGAGAGGCAATGTGTGTGTGTGTGTAAGAACTATTCAGAATATAAAAAGAATTTCTACAAATCAGTAAGAAAAAACACAAACAACGTGATAGAACAATCACTTCACAAAAGAGGATAGCCATATGGCCAACACATGAAAATGTGCCCAACTTCACCAATCATCAGGGAAAATTATAACAACAAAGAGATACGGTTAAACACAAATACTGCTCCATAATAACATGGTCTATTAACAAAAAAAGATATGCAGTTTCTTACGATATAGATGAGAACTTTAAGAGTATGTTTGGGGGTGGATGTCAAGGAATATGAAATACAGAGCTTGAATGAACTGAATTTAATGACATGAGTGCTATCACCCAGAGCACAGGATACAAGCATTGGCTCAAACTCCTGAAAGTGTTATTGATCTTCTTTCACATTAGCTCACTGAAGCTTGAACTCAGAGATAGCCTATAGCTAATGAGGTTGAAAAGCTAGAATTTCCACAGTACCTTGTAAAATAAGGAATCAGTAGTCAATAGAGATTTTGTAATCTAATACAGTATGGCCATCTGCCCTCTGTACATAAGACCCTGTGCTATAAGATTGGAAGACATTTTCTTCCCTATAGCATTAAGAAATGGATCAGTGAGGAGGGCATCAGTGGTCTTAAAATGCTCTGTGGCATCTGAATTCTTTGGTGCAGAGCTGATGGTGGGGAATGAAACTGAAATTGGATTATATGGTCTTGAGAAAAATGATAATTCTGGAAAATTAAATGCCAGGAAGTGACACCATCATAGACAAAGTGGAAGTAGTTACTACAAGTAAGTCACATTGACTAGGGTATTGTGACCTACAGGGACCTGTAGTGATACACAGTTTATCAAACGGTACTTAAAAACACAATATTTGGTAACCTACCACTGTATTGTGAATGTCTGTGTCCCCCAAAACATGTTAAAACCTAATCACCAGTGTGATGGTGTTAGCAGGTAGGCCCTTGGGAGGTGATTAAATCATGAGGGCACAGCCTTCTTGAATGGAATTCATGCCTTTATAGAAGAGGCCTCAGAGAGCTGCTTTGTCTCTTCCACCATGTGAAGACACAGTGAGAAGACACCATCTGTGAACCATAAAGGGGCCTTCACCAGACACCAATCTGCCAGAACCTTAATGTCAGACTTCCTAACTTCTAGAACTATGATAAGTAAATTTTTTTTGTTTATTAGCTACCCAGTTTATGGTATTTTGTTATAGCAACCCAAATGGACTAAGATACCTACTAAGATGTTAGCTGGAGTATATTAGCAGAAAAAATTCTAGGTGTGGAGACAGAAACATAACTTGAAACAATATAATAGGGATTCATGGCTTTTTACCCAGTTTCCATATTAAGCCAGTTTGCAGATTCAGATTTTCTCATCTGAGAGGTAGAATAATCCCTTTATGAATAGATCTGGCAATGAAGCAACATAATATTAAAGCTTTTTCCCTCAAGTCTTGTCTACAGAGACATTCCAGGCACTTAACTAGCTAATCATCCCTGAAGAAGGGGGTTATTAGATATTGTTGCTAGTCCCTGGTGATCTGGTTGCTTTGACAAATTCCTAGTGTCTGAAAATGAAAGACATTGGGTTGAGTTTTAGCTAGTTCACTTTCATTCTGAACAGTTAATTATTTTATTGTGTATTTCCTTGAAGAGAAAAAACTCTAAAAGTAATTTTGCTGTACGAACTACTATGAAATTTATCTGAAACGTTTTAATTGCTTCACATAGCATTGGGAGAAGTTAAAATCTAAAGTAACAGAATCTTTTGGGATAGGAACAAAGTGAGATCATCAATGCCAGTAATTCCATTCACTTCATAATGAGATCCCTTGGGCCCTGCCCTTCCCTCTGGTAAATAACTGCTTATGTGAAAATCTCCCTTGCTCCTCCTTTGACTTTAAACATCAAATATGAGTCTCTTATTCAGAATCCTTGAGAATTTTCCCATTATCCAGAAAGACAGATAGCAAGGACAAACACAACAACTCATCAATTTCTCAGAAAGTAGGAATGAACTGCCTGAAACATGAATAACTACAGATAAAAGCACAATCCAGCGTCAACATTCCCAATGTGTGTTCCATTTTTCCTTTCTCACACCTTTAGAATATAAAAGCCGTAATGCACATGATGCTTCAGAAAAATAAATGTCAAGTTGTATCTTAGTTTTAACTTGGAAGTTGAGGAGAAATGCAGTAAAAATATAGGAAACCAAAGCCCTTGAAAGTAATTTATAGTGAATTGTCTGCTTTCAAGAAGAATAACCAAACATCTGAGAAAAGAAAACTTCTCATCTTTTTATTTGAACTGATACGTTTTTTGTTAGAAGAAAAAATTTATGAGCAAACCATTAGTGAGAAAGTGAGTTTAGCAGTAAATAGCTAGTAGTAGAACTTACACAAACAAATTTAAGCCACAAAGAGTGCATTGATCTAGTAGACTCTAATAGGTTTTGTTTTCTTTTTTAATTTGACTAAGACAAGGATCTAAACCAAAATGCATATTTTTCAAGAATCTTTTTTTATTTTACTTTTTTAAATCACATCTATTTTTAACTCACTAAATTGTTTGACATATTGTAAGAAAATCATTTGGTAATGATTTTAATTTTGTGAGTATAATATTGTGCAGTCAGAAACTGCAGCAGCTGGAAAGTTTTAAGTTGTAGAATCAAAGCACCTCAGACAATGGTAGACACTGTATATGATAAAACACACATCCTTTAATCACATTAATGCTTTGGGAATTATATAAAAAGATATGTCCTTTACTATGTTGTTTGTCAAACCTAAGTAACAGAATCAAAATAAATTGCTTAATTATTTTCAAATTTTAAGTTATTTTGAATAATTCAAATTTTGTTACATATATAAAGAATATATTTATTAGAGTATAAAGTGAAAATTAAATATGTAACTCTTCTAACATGAGGCACATCACCCTCCAAAAACCAATAATGTCGCAGTAAGACAAATTATGCTGCATTATATCATTCAAATGAAATACGATATATTCAATGCTCTACCACTTTTAATTACGAATATAATTTGACCCTGTTTCTATATGAGTATATGCAAACTTGTGTAATTATGTTAAATGTATATAATATTCAGTTAACTAGCTCGTTCTTGATGATCATGTGTGCTGTTTCCAATTTTTTACATGAAAGTAATGTTTCACAAATATTTTAGGATGCATGCAGAATAAACTCCTAGAAATGAAATTAATCAAAGTTAGTTCAAAATATTTTTATGTACATTTTTATTGTGAAAGATAACAGCAAATTGTCTTACAAAAAGAATTTATCCTTCTCCACATAGATTATGAAACTGATCATTTTCTAAACATTTGCAACATGGTTGGTTCCTAACAGTCACTTAAATATAAGCCATTTCAGGACGAAAAAATGCCTCAACTTTTCAATTTCAACTTACTAATTAGAATAGGATTGAAATTATTTTCATATGTGTTTATTTCTTTTTTTCCAAAATGTCTTTTAGGATATTTGCCCATTTTTTGTAGAAACATTTTTAATTTTGGGGAAATAAAAAGTCAAAAGCTATTTTTATTAAGAAAAGCAGTATTTTTCTGCTATGTATATTAATGGTTTCGTTTGGGTCCTATCGAACCACGTGGTTTATCCATCATTGAATTTTCTATTAAAATTTATGATATATCCTTTTTCTCAAATTTTGTTTTGATAATATCTGAAAAATAATAACATGTTCATATTTTGATTTATAAATACTTTTAATCAGTTATGATTTTTAAAGAAATGTTCATAAATTATAATGGCACTTCCATAATGGTGGTGTGGCTCATTGCCCTGTAAAACAACCATGACTGATACAATTTTTTTAATTCCAAGTCTCTGAAAATTGTCTTAAGAGAAAACAACAAATGAAGTAATACTTATTCAAGATACTCTACTAAATCTCACTAAGAAGAGCAAGAGTCTATGGCACTTGAGCCACAGCCTGCTTTCCTACCCAGCTCAGTGTGATGGAAGCTCCACTCTGGACAGGTGTGGCCAAGAAGAAAAGGATTCCTTTCCCCTCAGCTCCCAGTCAAGGAATATAGTATCTCACTGAGAGGGGCAGAATGCCAGCATTTCTTATCACTTTCACTTCTGAGTTGTCAAGGCTACATTCCCAGAGATCTAAACAAAAGACTGGGGCTACCTTCCTGCACTCCATACATAAGGTGGATACCCTATGCCAAGCATGTTGAGCCAAGAATACTGGAACTCTTATCACCTTTGCCCTAGCTCACTCATAAACAGAGGTCCAACACTGGGAGAGGCAAGCAAAGAAAAGTAAAAGCTACCACTCTTCAGTGCACTGCCCTTGGAACAGTGGCATAGAAGGTTTTGTCTAGGGACAGGGGAAGAACAGAACATTCAAAAGCTCTGTCCAAAGAAACTGACTGTATTTGAAGCAGAGTGTTGAAAGTTCAAGCCTAAGGGTACATTAAAAAACAATGAATATTTGGTGCTAAGGAGTTAAGACAAGGCTGAGACTCTATGAGACAACAAGCTAGGCCATAAAACAGTGAGTTTACCAGTGACAACCAGGGAAAGAGCTTTTCTGGGGTCAGAACAAATCTCAAAAAGTGACCTCAAGAACTACCCCTGCAAAATTAGATCACACTGTGGAGCAATTTATGTCCCCAGGGCATTATCAAAACCAATAGAGCACCCAGCCAGCAATTAATGGATCCTCCCAGCTGAGTATAATACCAAATGACGAAGACTGGTTAACAAAAATCAGCAAATGACATTGCAAAGACAAGACATCCAAAGCCCTGCTCAAACTATTCTCATCCCAGGTTGTTTATGTCCATGCCCAAGGCTGTGCTCTCTGAAGGGTAACACCAGAGGCTTCACACTGTGGAGGAAATTTACTAAAATAGCCTGGCCAAGTCACTAACAAACAAAAAATAAAACAAGACCCAGGACGGGGAGTCAGTATACAAAGTTACTACAATGTCTAGTTTTAATTTAGTAACATTATATTACTCAAATGTCTAGTTTTCAACAAAAAAACTATGAGACTTGTAAAAAAATAGGAAAGCATGACTGATACACAAGTAAACGAGCAGACAATAGAAACTGCCAGTGAGAGGCCCCAAATGTCAGATTTATCATAGATCAAAACAACCAATATAAATATGTTCAAGGAAATAAAATCATGCTTAAAGAAGTAAAAGAAGGTATGATAAGAGTGTCTCATCAAATAGAGACTACTAAAAAGGGAGATAAAGTATTTTAAAAATGAAACAAATGGAAACTTTAGAGTTGAAAAGCACAGTGAAAACTTCACTAGAGGAGCTCAACAGTAGATTTGAACTGATGGAAGAAAGAATCAGTGAACTTGAAGATAGGCTGATAGAGATTATGCAATCTGAGCAACAAGAAAAAAATAAAATGAACAGATCCTCAGACAAGTATGGAATACCACTGATGACACCAAAGTACACATAATGGAAGTATCAAAGGAGCAGAGAGAAGCAAGTTAAAAAAATATTCAAAGAATTAATTGCTGAAACATTAAAGTTGATGAAAAAAATTATATATCTAAAAAGCTCCTTTCTCTAAATAGGATTAATGTAAAAATATTCACATTCAGTTGCATCATAATAGGAACACTAAAAGCTAGAGTCAAAGAGACAGTTTTGAAAGCAGCAAGAGGAAAATGACTCATCATGTACAAGAGAACCTCAGTAAGATTATCATCTGACTTCTCATCAGAAATACTGGAGACTAGAAGGCAGTGGGGATGACAGCCAAAGTTCTAAAAGAACGTTGAACCAAGAGTCTTATATCCAGGAAAACTATCCCTCAAAAATGAACCACATTTATTTTTTTTTCTGAGACGAAGTCTCACTCTGTCACCAGGCTGGAGTGCAGTGGCGCAATCTTGGCTCACTGCAACCTCTGCCTCCCAGGTTCAAGTGATTCTCCTGCCTCCGCCTCCAAAGTAGCTGGGACTACAGGTGCGCACCACCACTCCCAGCTAATTTTTTAATTTTTAGTAGTTGGGTTTCATTATGTTGCCCAGGATGGTCTCGATCTCTTGACCTCCTGATCTGCCCGCCTCGGCCTCCCAAAGTGCTGGGATTACAGGCGTGAGCCACCACACCCAGCCAACCACATTTTTTAAATCCAGTCCACCATTGATGGCAATCTAAGTTGATTCCATGTCTTTGCTATTGTGAATAGTGCTACAGTTAACATATACATGCATATGTCTTTATGGCTAAATGATTTATATTCCTTTGGATATATAAGTAATGGGATTGCTGAGTCAAATAGTAGTTATGTTTTAAGTTTTTTGAGAAATCTCCGACTGCTTTTCACAGTGGCTGAACTAATTTACATTCCCACCAGTAGTGTATAAGCATTCCCTTTTCTTTGCTTGTTGATTTAAGTTCTTTATAGATTCTGGATATTAGACTTTTGTCAGATATACTTTGCAAATATTTTGTCCCATCCTATAGGTTGTCTGCATATCCTGTTGATAGTTTCTTTTGCTGTGCAGAAGCTCTTTAGTTTAATTAGGTCATACTTGTGAATTTTTGTTTTGTTGCAATTGCTTTTGGAGTCTTCATTATAAAGTATTTGTCAGGGCCGATGTACAGAATGGCATTTCCTAGGTTTTCTTCTAGGATTTTTACACTTTTAGGTTCTACAGTTTAGTCTTTAACCCATCTTGAGTTGATTTTTGTATATAGTGAAAAGTAGTTGTCCAGCTTCGATATTCTGATTATGGCCGTCCAGTTTTTTCAGCGCCATTTACTGAATACAGAGTCATTCCCCATTGCTTATTATTGTTGGCTTTGTCAAAGATCAGATTACTGTAAGTGTGAGGCTTTATTCCTGGGTTCTCTAACTGATTCCATTGATCTATGAGTCTGTTTTTGTACCAGTACCATGTTGTTTTAATTATGGTAGCCTTGCAGTATAGCTTGAAGTCAGGTAATGTGATGCCTCCAGCTTTGTTTTGTGTGTGTGTGTGTGTGTGTGTGTGTGTGTTTGGTTTTGTGTTTTTTGTTTGTTTGTTTTTGCTTAGGGTTGCTTTGACTATTCAGGCTTTTTTGTTGTTGCTGTTTGATATAAATTTTAGAATCATTTTTTTTCTAATTCTGTGAAAAATGTTATTGGTAGATTGCTAGTGTGAACCCAGAAAGTCTGAGACAGGTCTCCATTAATTTAGAAAGTTTATTTTGCCAAGGTTGAGGAAGCACTTGTGACAGCCTCAGGAAGTCCTGATGACATGTGCCCAAGGTGGTCAGGGCACAGCTTGGTTTTACACATTTTAGGGAGACATGAGACATCAATCTATATATGTAAGAAGTACAGTGGTTTGGTCTGGAAAGGTGGGACAACTTGAAGCAAAGGAAAGAAGACTCAAAGCAGAGAGGGAGCTCCCAGGTTACACTAGGTGATACACAAACGATTACATTCTTTTGAGTTTCTGATTAGCCTTTCCAAAGGAGGTAATTAGATATGATTCTCTCTCACTGAGCAGAGGGTTGACTTTGAATAGAATGGGAGGCAGGTTTGCCCTAAGCGGTTTCCAGCTTGAGTTTTCCTTAGTGATTTGGGGGGCTCAAGACATTTTCCTTTCACACTAGTAGTACCATTGAATCTGTAAATTGCTTTGGGCAGTATGCCCATTTAACAATACTGATTCTTCCTATCCATGAGCATGAAAAGCTGTTCCATATGTTTATGTTATCTCTGGTTTTCAGCAGTGTTTTTTAATTCTCATTGCAGAGATCTTTCACTTCCCTGGTTAGCTGTATTCCTAGGTATTTCATTCTTTCTGTGGCTATGGTAAATGGATTGCATTTTTATTTGGCTTTCAGCTTGGATGTTATTGGTGTATATAAATGCTACTAATAGTTGCACATTCATTGTGTATTCTGAAACTTTTCTGAAATCGTTTATCAGATCTAGGAGCCTTTTGGCAGAGAGTGGAGTTTTCTAGGTATATAATCATATCATCTCTGAAGAGAGATCGTTTGACTTTCCCTCTTCCTATTTGGATGACTTTTATTTCTTTCTCTTGCCTGATTTATTTCTCTTGCCTGATTGCTCTGGCTAGGACTTCCAGTACTATTTGGAATAGGAGTAATGAGAGGGGACATCCTTGTCTTGTTCTGGTTCTCAAGGGGAATAATTCCAGCTCTTGCCCATGTAGTATGATGTTGGCTGCAGGTTTGTCATACATAGCTCTCAATATTTTGAGGAATGTTTCTTCAATGTCTGGTGTGTTGAGGGTTTTTAACATGAAGGGATGTTGAATTTCATCAAAAGCCATTTCTGTCTGTTGAGATTATCACATGGTTTTTGCTTTTAGTTCTGTTTATGTAGTGAATCACATTTATTGATGTGTGGGTGATGAACCAACCTCGCATCCCAGAAATAAAGCCTACTTGATTGTGGTGGATTAAGTTTTTGATATGCTGCTGGATCCAGTTTGCTAGTATTTTGCTGAGGATTTTTGCACCCATGTTCATCAAGCATATTGGCCTAAAATTTTTTTTTTGTTGTGCCTCTGCTAGGCTTTGGTATCAGAGTGATGCTGGCCTCATAAGATGAGTTAGGGAGTGTAAGGCCTCTGAGACCAAGCTAAGCCATCATATCCCCTGTGACCTGCACATATACATCCAGATGGCCTGAAGCAACTGAAGAACTACAAAAGAAGTGAAAATAGCCAGTTGCTGCCTTAACTTATGACATTCCACCATTGTGATTTGTTCCTGCCCCACCCTAACTGATCAATTGACCCTGTGACATTCCTTTTCCCGGACAATGAATCTCAGGAGCTCCCCATTGAGCACCTTGCGACTGCTGCACCTGCATGCAAGAGAACAACCCCCTTTAACTATAATTTTCCACTACCTACCCAAATCCTATAAAACTGCCCCACCCCTATCTCCCTTTGCTGACTTCTGTTTTGGACTCATTCTGCCTATGCCCAGGTGATTAAGAAGCTTTATTGCTCACACAAAGCCTGTCTGGTGGTCTCTTCACGTGGACACACATAACATTTGGTGCCGAAGACCTGGGACAGGGGGACTGCTCCAGGAGACCAGCCCCCTGTCCTCACCCTCACTCCGTGAGGAAATCCACCTACAACCTCAGGTCCTCAGACCAGCCCAAGGAACATCTCACCAATTTCAAATCAGGTAAGCAGTCTCTTCACTCTTCTCCAGCTTCTCTCGCTACCCTTCAATCTCCCTGTTCTTCCAATTCCAGTTCTTTTTCCTCTCTAGTGGAAACAAAGGAGACACATTTTATCCGTGAACTCAAAAACTCCGACGTCGGTCACGGATATGGGAAGATGGTCTTCCCTCGGTGTCTGATCATAGCGGGGATGCCTGCCTTGATCATTCATCTACATTCCATTGGTGTCTGATCACCACAGGGATGCCTGCCTTGATCATTCACCCACATTCCATTGGTGTCTGATCACTGCTGGGACGCCAGCCTTGATCATTCAATCATTCACCCACATTCCACTGGTGTCTGATCACCGTGAGGATGCCTGCCTTGGTCATTCACCCACATTCCCTTGGTGACAAGTCAGTTGTGGGGACACCTGCTTTGGCTGCTCACCCACATTACAGCCCACGGCTACTCACCCCCACCTTCTCTGTGTCTCTACTTTTCTCTTTAAACTCACCTCCTTCACTATGGGCAACCTTCTGCCCTCCATTCCCCTTTCTTCTCCCTTAGCCTGTGTTCTTAAAAACCTAAAACCCCTTCGACTAACACCTGACCTAAAACCTAAACATCTTATTTTCTTCTGTAATACCACTTGGCCCCAATACACACTCAACAATAGTTTCAAGTGGCCAGAGAATGGCACTTTTGATTTGTCTATCCTACAAGATCTAGATAATTTTTGTTGTAAAATGGGCAAATGGTCTGAGGTGCCTGATGTCCAGGCATTCTTTACACATCGGTCCCTCCCTAGTCTCTGCTCCCATTGCAACTCGTGCCAAATATTTCTTCTTTCTCTCCTATGTGTTCCTTCAGTCTCCACCCCAAGCTCTGAGTCCTTTGAATCCTCTTTTTCTACAGATCCATCTGACCTTGCCCCTCCTCCCCAGGCTGCTCCTCACCAGGCCGAGCCAGGTCCCAATTCTTCCTCAACCTCCACTCTCCCACCCTATAATGCTTCTATCACCTCACCTCTTCACACCCAGTCTGGCTTACAGTTTCTTTCTGTAAGTAGCTCTCCCCGACCTGCCCAACAATTTCATTTTAGAGAGGTGGCCGGAGCTGAAGGCATAGTCAAGATTAATGCTCCTTTTTTCTTTATCTGACCTCTCCCAAATTGGTTAGCGTTTAGGCTCTTTTTCATCAAATATAAAAACCCAGCCCAGTCCGTGGCTGGTTTGGCAACAACCCTTAGATGCTTTACCGCCCTAGACCCAGAGGGACCAGAAGGCCATCTTATTCTCAATATGTATTTTATTACCCAATCCACTCCCAACATTAGAAAAAGCTTCAAAAATTAGATTCCGCCCTCAAACCCCACAACAGGACTTAATTAACCTTGCCTTCAAGGTGTACAATAATAGAGAAGAGGCAGCCAAGCGGCAATGTATTTCTGGATTGCAATTACTTGCCTCCGCTCTGAGAGAAACCCCAGCCACATCTCCAGCACACAAGAACTTCAAAACGCCTAAACCACAGTGGCCAGGCATTCCTCCAGGACCTCCTCCCCCAGGATCTTGCTTCAAGTGCCGGAAATCTGGCCACTGGGCCAAGGAATGCCCGCAGCCCAGGATTCCTCCTAAGCCGTGTCCTATCTGTGCAGGTCCCCACTCGAAATCGGACTGTCCAGCTTGCCCAAAAGCCACTCCCAGAGCCCCTGGAACTCTGCCCCAAGGCTCTCTGACTGACTCCTTCCCAGATCTTCTTGGCTTAGTGGCTGAAGACTGATGCTGCCTGATTGCCTCAGAAGCCTCCTGGACCATCACAGACACTTCAGGTAACTTACAGTGGAGGTAAGTCCCTTCTTAATTGATACGGAGGCTACCCACTCCACATTACCTTCTTTACAAAGGCCTGTTTCCCTTGCCTCCATAACTGTTGTGGGTATTGATGGTCAGGCTTCTAAACCTCTTAAAACTCCCCCACTCTGGTGCCAACTTGGACAACATTCTTTTATACACTCCTTTTTAGTTATCCCCACCTGCCCAGCTCCCTTATTAGGTCAAGACATTTTAACTAAACTATCTGCTTCTCTGACTATTCCTGGGCTACAGCCACACCTCATTGCCACCCTTTTCCCCAGTTCAAAGTCTCCTTCACATCCTCCCCTTATGTCTCCCTACCTTAATCCACACGTATGGGATACCTCTACTCCTACTTTGGCAACCGATCATGCACCCCTTATCATCCCATTAAAACCTAATCACCCTTACCCTGCTCAACGCCAATATCCCATCCCACAGCAGGCTTTAAAAGGGTTAAAGCCTGTTATAACTCACCTGTTACAACATGGCCTCTTAAAGCCTACAAATTCTCCTTACAACTCCCCTATCCTACCCCTCCAGAAACTGGACAAGTCTTACAGGTTGGTTCAGGATCTTCACCTTGTTAATCAAATTGTCCTTCCCATCCATCCTATAGTGCCAAACCTGTACACCCTCCTATCTTCAATAACCCTTTCCACAACTCACTATTCTGTTATCGACCTCAAAGATGCTTTCTTTACTATCCCCTTGCATCCCTCCTCCCAGCCTCTTTTTGCCTTTACTTGGACTGACCCTGACACCCACTAATCCCAACAACTCACCTGGACTGTTCTGCCCCAAGGCTTCAGGGACAGCCCACACTACTTTGGCCAGGCCCCTTCTCATGATCTGCTTTCTTCTTCCCCATCTGCCTCTCACCTTATTCAATATTTTGATGATCTCCTTTGCAGCCCCTCTTACTAATCTTCCCAGCAGGACACTATCCTGCTTCTTCAACATCTCTACTGAAAGGGGTACCAAGTATCCCCCTCCAAGGCACAAATTTCTTCTCCTAGTGTTACCTATCTCAGTATAATCCTCCATCAACATACATGTGCCCTTCCTGCAGACCGTATTCAGTTAATCTCCCAGACCCCAATCCCCACCACCAAACAACTCCTTTCCTTCTTAGGCATTGTTGGATATTTCCAACTCTGGATACCAGGCTTTGCTATTCTAACCAAAACCACTTTACAAGCTCACAAAGGATAACTTAACTAATCCCATAGATCCTAAGTCTTTTCCCCATTCTTCCTTTCACTTTCTCAAAAAGGTCCTGGAGACAGCTCCTACACTTGCACTCCCCAACTCGTCCCATCCCTTTTCCTTACACACAGCGGAAATACAAGTCTGTGCTGCCGGAGTCCTCACACAGGAGCCAGGCTCACAACCTGTTGCCTTTCTATCAAAGAAACTTGACCTCACAGTTCTGGGCTGGCTCTGCATGGGGCGGCAGGCACTGCTTTAATACTTCTAGAGGCCTTCAAAATCACAGGCTATGCTCCACTTACCCTTTACAGTTCTCACAACCTTCAAGCATTAATATCCTCCCCATACCTTTCACATTTATTGTCTGCCCCTCAACTCCTCCAGCTCTATTCACTCTTTGTTAAAACTCCAACAGTAACTATTATCCATAGGCCTGATTTCAACCCACTTTCTCACTTAGCACCCAGCACAAGTCCTGAACCACCTGACTGTATTTCCCTAATAAACATAGCATCCTCCCCCGTCCTCATATTCCTATTCTGCCAATTCCAAACACAGACCACACTTGGTTTATTGATGGCAGTTCTTCTAAACCCAATCAATTTTCACCAGCTAAAGCTAGATATGTTGTCGTGTCCCACACCGCTACTATTGAAGCTGCTGCACTTCCCTCCACCACTTCCGAATAAGCTGAACTGATTGCTTTAACTACCGCATTCTCTCACTAAAGGAATGCACATTGACATTTATACTGACTCCAGATATGCTTTCTATATCCTCCATAACCATGCTGCCTTCTGGGCTGAAAGAGGCTTCCTTACCACACAAGGCTCTTCCATTATCAATGCCTCCCTAACAAAGGCCCTCCTTAAGGTTGCTTTCCTGCCAGCCAAGGCTGGAGTCATTCATTATAAAGGGCACCAGAAACCTACTGATCTTATTGCAAAAGGAAATGCCTATGCCAACAGGACGGCAAAAGAAATAGCTGATGCCTCCACATCCACTAATATTCCAGCCCTCACTCCAGAGGTCCAGTATTTCTCCTTCTCCTCCAACACTCCCACCTACTTTTCTGAAAACCTGCTCTACCAGTCTTTTCCAACTCAAGGCAAGTGGTTCTTATAAATCATGGAAAATTCATTCTTCCTGCCTCACAAGCTCAGTCCATTCTTTCTTCCCTTCATGACCACTTCCATGTGGGATACAAGCCTGTGGCTTGATTCCTGCAGCTCCTCATCTCCTTCTCTTCATGGAAGTCCATCCTTAAGACCATAACCTCTCAATCCTCTGTCTGCCATGCCACCAGCCCCCAAGGCTTTCTCAGGCCTCCTCCTTTTCCTGAGCATCAGGCTTGTGGATTTACTTCAACTCATGATTGGCAGTTAGACTTTACTCATATGCCCCATGTCCGTAAATTTAAGTATCTCCTGGTTTGGATCGACACCTTCACCGGATGGCTCGAGGACTTTCCCACTAGTTCCAAAAAGCCTATTGCAGTCATTTCTTCCCTTCTAACAGATATAATTCCCTGATTTGGCCTCCCTACTTCTATTCAATCTGACAATGGTCCAGCTTTTATTAGTCAAATCACCCAAGCTGTCTCTCAGGTTCTTGGTATTCAGTGGAAACTTCATACCCCTTACTGTCCTCAATCTTCAGGAAAGGTAAAATGGACTAATGCTCTTTAAAAAACACACCTCACCAAGCTCAGCCTCTAACTTAAAAAGGACTGGACAGTACTTCTACCACTTGCCTTTCTCAGAATTAGAGCCTGCCCTCGAGATGCTACAGGGTACAGTCCATTTGAACTTTTATATAGACACACTTTCTTGCTCAGCCCCAATCTTATTCCAGACACCAGCCCTCTGGGCAACTATCTTCCAGTCCTCCAGCAGGCTAGACAGGAAATTCGCCAGGCTGCTAATCTTCTCTTGCCTACTCCAGATTCCCAGCCATATGAAGACACCCTAGCTGGATGATCGGTTCTTGTTAAGAGTCTGACCCCTGAAACTCTACAGCCTCGATGGAACGGACCCTACCTAGTCATCTATAGCACCCCAACTTCCGTCCATCTACAGGAATCTCCCCATTGAGTTCACCATTACAGAATAAAGCTGTGTCCATTGGACAGCCAGCCAGATCTCTCCTCTTCCTCCTGGAAGTTGCGAGTACTCTCCCCTACTTCCCTTAAAACTCATTCGCATTTCTAAAGAACAGTAATAACCCTTATAAGCCTAACACATCCTTTCATTTTTATTAGGTCTGTTCTTCCTTGCCTTACTCTCTACAACAGGGTTTTATGCAGTCACACCCGCCCCCACTTCTTGGACTGCAACTCACAAGCTTTTTCATCCCTGCTATTTTCCAATTCACCATTCTCACCTACTCATAAATGCCCTGCTCTTGTTTACACTGCCAGTTTCCACTTTTCCTCCAAACCATCACAGCTGATATCTCATGGTGCTATCCCCAAACTGCCACTCTCGACTCCCTCTTGGAGTGGATAGATGATCTTTGCTGGCAGGGCACACTCCAATATTTTCTGCCTCCACTATTGCTCTTGGAACTGGAATAGCAGGCAATTCAACCTCTGCCACAACCTTCTGTAGCCTCTCTAATGACTTCTCTGCTAGCATTGCAGACATATCACAATCTTTATCAGTCCTTCAGGCGCAGGTTGACTCTTCAGTTGCGGTTGTCCTCCAAAACCATGAGGCCTTGACTTACTCACTGCTGAAAAAGGGAGACTCTATATTTTTAAATGAAGAGTATTGTTTTTACCTAAATCAATCTGGCCTGGTATACGACAACCTAAAAAAACTCATGGATAGAGCCCAAAAACTCACCAACCAAGCAAATAATTACACTGAACCCCCTTGGGCACTCACTCTCTAATTGGATGTCCTGGGTCCTCCAAATTCTTAGCCCTTTAATACCTGTTTTTCTCCTTCTCTTATTCAGACCTAGTGTCTTCCATTTAGTTTCTCAGTTCATACAAAACTGCATCCAGGCCATCACCAATCATTCTATACAACAAATGCTCCTTCCAACAACCCCACGATATCACCCCTTACCACAAAATGTTTCTTCAATTTAATCTCTCCCACTCTAGGTTCCCATGCCACCCCTAATCCTGCCTGAAGCAGCCCTGAGAAACATTGCCCATTATCTCTCCATACCACCCCCCCCAAAATTTTTGCTGCCCCCAACACATCACCACTATTTTGTTTTGTTTTTCTTATTAATATAAGAAGACAGTAATGTCAGGCCTCTGAGCCCAAGCTAAGCCATCATATCCCCTGTGACCTGCACATATACATCCAGATGGCCTGAAGCAACTGAAGAACCATAAAAGAAGTGAAAATAGCCAGTTCCTGCCTTAATTGATGACATTCCACCACTGTGATTTGTTCCAGTCCCACCCTAACTGAGCATTGACCTTGTGACACTCCTTCTCCTGGACAGTGAATCTCAGGAGCTCCCCACTGAGCACCTTGTGACCCCTGCCCCTGCCTGCAAGAGAACAACCCCCTTTAACAGTAATTTTCCACTACCTACACAAATCCTAGAAAACTGCCCCACCCCATCTCCCTTTGCTGACTCCTTTTTCGGATTCAGTCTGCCTGCACCCAGGTGATTAAAAGCTTTATTGCTCACACAAAGCCTGTTTGGTGGTCTCTTCACATGGACATGTATAACATGGAGGAGTAACTTCTCCTCTATTTTTTGGAATAGTTTCAGTAGAATTGGTACCAGCACTTCTTTATATGTCTAGTGGAATTCAGCTGTGAATTTGCCTGGTACAGGGCTTTTTCTGATTTGTAAGTTTTTAAATTACTGATTCAATTTCAGAACTCATTATTGGTCTGTTCAGGGTTTTACTGTCTTCTTGGTTGAATCTTGAAAGGTAGTGTGTTTCTAGGAATTCAGCCATTTCTTTTAGGTTTTCTAGTTTTTGTGCATAGAGGTGCTCGAAATAGTCTCTGATGGATTTTTGGGGTCAGTGATATTTCTTTAAAATGTACTGCTACCATTGATTGTCATAACCAGTTTGTAGGATTCATGTTTTCCATTTATTCTTATCTCAAAAGTAGGGTAAACTGATCTCTGAATACACAGATGATAAAAGAGTAATCATAAAACTAAACTATTAATGTGTCCAATAATAATTATGGTAACAGAGATAACGTAACTTTGAAAGCAACTCATGTTCAAGTCAGAAGTGAAAATAAATACATTTTTACATGAACCAGTAAAACATTAAACATAATATTTAGTGGGGGAAAAAAGAAATATAGCATTTATTTGTGTCGGGAACATGCTAAGTCTTTCTTCTAGCTATTTTGAAATAAACAATAAATTATTGTTATCATAGAGATTTATCAAAATATCACAAGCACCTCAGAAACATGTACAATAGTTGTGTATCAATTTCTTAATTAACAATAAAAACTGAAAAATATTTAATTGACAAAGAAATTACTAAAAAGCATTATTCACATCATAATCACTTTTTCAATTAACTATTTTCTCATTCAGCTACATATTATATTAACAGTACAGCTGTGATCATGTGAGCACATGAGAAATGTGTATCATTTTTATTAAGAATTAACAAATTCGAGACTTAAACATTCGTGACTGCCAGCTCTGAGGAGAGCAGTGGATCACCCAGCACAGTGCCCGAGCTCTGCTAAGGAACAGACTGCCTCCTCAAGTGGGTCGCTGACCCCCATGCCTCCTGACTGAAAGACACCTCCCAGCAGGGATCGACAGACACCTCATACAGGAGAGCTCCAGCTGGCATCCAGCAGGTGCCCCTCCTAAACAAAGCTTCCAGAGGAAGGAACAGGCAGCAATCTGTGCTGTCCGGCAACCTCTGCTGGTGATACCCAGGTGAACAGGGTCTGGAGTGGACCTCCAGCAAACTCCAGGAGACCTGCAGCAGAGAGGCCTGATGGTTAGAAGAAATACTAACAAACAGAAAGGAATAGTATCAACATCAAGAGAAAAATGTCTACTCAGGATCCCATCTGAAGGTCACCAACATCAAAAGCCAAAGGTATATAAATCCATGAAGATGAGAAAAAAAAAACAGCACAAAAAGGCTGAAAATACCAAAAATCAGAGCACCTCTTCTACTCCAAAGATCACAAATCCTCACCAGCAAGGGAACAAAACTGGATCGAGAATGAATTTGACAAATTGACAGAAGTAGGCTTCAGAAGGTGGGTAATAACAAACTCCTCTGAGCTAAAGGAGCATGTTCTAACCCAATGCAAGGAAGCTAAAAACCTTGAAAAATGTTTAGAGGAATTGCTAACTAGAATACCAATTTAGAGAAGAATATAAATAACCTGATGGAGCTGAAAAACACACCACGAGAACTTCGTAAAGAATACACAAGTATCAATAGCTGAATCAATCAAGTGGAAGAAAGTATATAAGAGATGGAAGATCAAATTAATGAAATAAAGCATGAAGCCAAGATTAGAGAAAAGAGAATGAAAAGGAATGAACAAAGCATCCAAGAAATATGGGACTATGTGAAAAGACCAAACCTACATTTGATTGGTATACCTGAAAGTGACTAGAAGAATGGAACCAAGTTGGAAAACACTCTTCAGGATATTATCCAGGAGACCTTCCCCAGCCTAGCAAGACAGGCCAACATTCAAATTCAGGAGATAGAGAGAACACCACAAAGATACTCCTCAAGAAGAGCAACCCAAAAACATGTAATTGTCAGATTCACCAAGGTTGAAATGAAGGAAAAAATATTAAGGGCAGCCAGAGAGAAAGGTCAGAATACCAACAAAAAGAAGCCTCTCAGACTAACAGCAGATCTCTCTGCAGAAACCCTACAAGCCAGAAGAAAGTGGGGGCCAATATTCAACATTCTAAAAGAAAAGAATTCTCAACCCAGAATTCTATACCCAGCCAAACTAAGCTTCATAAGCAAAGGAGAAATAAAACTCTTTACAGACAGCAAATAATGAGAGATTTTGTCACCCCCAGGCCTACCTTACAAGAGCTTCTAAAGGAAGCAATAAATGGGGAAAGGAAAAGCCGGTACCAGCCACTGCAAAAACATACCATATTGTAAAGATGATCGACATTATGAAAAAAGTGCATTAACTAATGGGCAAAATAACCAGTTAGCATCATAATGACAGGATAAAATTCACACATAACAATACTAACCTTAAATGTAAATGAGCTAAATGCCCCAATTAAGAGACACAGACTGGCCAACTGGAAAAAGAGTCAAGACCCATCAGTGTGCTGTATTCAGGAGACCCATCTCATGTGCAAAGACACACATAGGCTCAAAGTAAAGGAATGGAGGAACATCTACCAAGCAAATGCAAAGCAAAAGACTTCAAGGGTTGCAATCCCAGTCTCTGATAAAACAGACTTTAAACCAACAAAGATCAAAGAAGACAAAGAAGGGCAATACATAATGGTAAAGGGATCAATGCAACTATCCTAAATATATATGCACCCAATACAAGAATACCCAAATTCATAAAGCAAGTTCTTAGAGACCTACAAAGAGACTTAGACTCCCATACAATAATAGTGGGAGACTTTAACACCCCACTGTTAATATTAGACAGATCAATTAGACAGAAGATTAACAAGAATATTAAGGACTTGAACTCAGCTCTGGACCAAGTGGACCTAATAGACATCTATAGAACTCTCCACCCCAAATCAACAGAACATACATTATTCTCAGCACCACATAGCACTTATTCTAAAATTGACCACATAATTGGAAGTAAAACTCTCCTCAGAAAATGCAAAAGAATGGGAATCATAACAAACAGTCTCTCAGACCACAGTTTAATCAAATTCGAACTCAGGATTAAGAAACTCACTCAAAACTGTAAAACTGTATGGAAACTGAACAATGTGCTCCTGAATGACTACTGGGTAAATAACAAAATTATGGCAGAAATAAATAGATTCTTTGAAACCAATGAGAACAAAGACACAACATACCAGAATCTCTGGGACACAGCTAAAGCAGTGTTTACAGGGAAATTTATAGCACTACATGCCCACAGGAGGAAGGGGGAGAGATCTAAAATCAACGCCCTACCATCACAATTAAAAGAACCAGAGAAGCAAGAGTAAACAAAGTCAAAAGCTAGCAGAAGATAAGAAATAACTAAGAACAGAGCAGAACTGAAGGAGATAGAGACATGAAAAATCCTTCAAAAATCAATGAATCCAGGAGTCGGTTTCTTGAAAAGATTAACAAAATAGATAAACTACTAGCCAGACTAATAAAGAAGAAAAGAGAGAAGAATCAAATAGACAGAATAAAAAATGATAAAGGAGATATTACCACTGATCCCACAGAAATACAAATTACCACCAGAGAATACTGTAAACACCTCTATGCAAATAAATTAGAAAATCTAGAAGAAAGGGATAAATTCCTGGACACATACATCCTCCCAAGACTAAACTAAGAAGAAATCCAGTTCCTGAATAGACCAATAACAAGTTCTGAAATTGAGGCAGTAATTAATAGCCTACCAACAAAAAAAGCCTAGGACCAGATGGATAAACAGCCGAATTGTACCAGAGGCACAAAGAAGAGCTGCTATCATTCCTTCTGAAACTATTCTAAACAATAGAAAAAGAGGGACTCTTCCCTAACTCATTTTATGAGGCCAGCATCATTCTGATACCAAAGCCTGGCAGAGACACAATGAAAAAAGAAAATTTCAGGCCAATATCCATTATGAACATTGATGCAAAAATCCTCAATAAAATACTGGCAAACCAAATCAAGCAGTACATCAAAAAGCTTATTCACCATGATCAAGTCAGCTTCATCCCTGAGATGCAAGGGTGGTTCAACATACACAAATCAATAAACATAATCCATCACATAAACAGAACCAATGATAAAAACCCCATGATTATTTCAATAGCTGCAGAAAAGGCTTTTGATAAAATTCAACAACCCTTGATTCTAAAAACACTCAATAAACTAGGTATTGATGGAACATATCTAAAAATAGTAAGAGGTATTTATGACAAACCCACAGCTAATATCATACCGAATGGGCAAAAGCTGGAAGCATTCCCTTTGAAAACCAGCACGAGACAAGGATGCCCTCTCTCACAACTCCTATTCAACACAGTATTGGAAGTTCTGGCCAGGGCAATCAGGCAAGAGAAAGAAATAAAGCATATTCAATTAGGAGGAGAGGAAGTCAAATTGTATCTGTTTGCAGATAACATGATTGTATATTTAGGAAACCCCATCACCTCAGCCCAAAATCTCCTTAAGCTGATAAGCAACTTCAGCAAAGTCTTAGGATACATAATCAATGTGCAAAAATCACAGGCATTTCTATACACCAATAATAGACAAACAGAAAGCCAAATCATGAATGAGCTCCCATTCACAATTGCTACAAAGAGAATAAAATACCTAGGAATACAACTTACAAGGGATGTGAAGGACCTCTTCAAGGACAACTACAAACCACTTCTCAAGGAAATAACAGAGGACATAAACAAATGGAAAATCATTCCATGATCATGGATAGAAAGAATCAATATAGTGAAAAAGGCCATACTGCCCAAAGTAATTTATAGATTCAATGCTATCCCCATCAAGCTACCACTGACTTTCTTCACAGAATTAGAAAAAACTACTTTAAATTTCATATGGAACCAAAAAAGAGCCCATCCCGTATTGCCAAGACAATCCTAAGCAAAAAGAACAAAGCTAGAGGCATCACACTACCTGACTTCAAACTATACTAAAAGGGTACAGTAACCAAAACAGCATGGTACTGGTACCAAAACAGATATATAGACCAATGGAACAAAATAGAGGCCTCAGAAATAATGCCACATGTCTACTACCATCTGATCTTTGACAAACCTGACAAAAAACAAGCAATGGGGAAAGGATTCCCTATTTAATAAATGGTATTGAAAAAACTGGCTGGCCATATGCAAAAAGCTGAAACTGGACCCCTTCTTTACACCTTATACAAAAACTAACTCAAGATGAATTAAAGACTTAAATATAAGACCTAAAAACATAAAAACCCTAGAAGAAAACCTAGGCAATACCATTCAGGATGGGCAAAGACTTCATGACTAAAACACCAAAGCAATGGCAACAAAAGCCAAAATAGACAAATCAGATCTAATTAAAGTAAAGAACTTCTGCACAGCAAAAGAAACTAACAACAGAGTGAAAAGGTAACCTACAGAATGGGAGACAATTTTTGCAATCTATCCATCTGACAAAGGGCCAATATCCAGAATCTACAAGGAACTTAAACAAATTTACAAGAAGAAAACAAACAACCCCATCAAAAAGTGGGTGAAGCAAATGAATCAACACTTCTCCAAAGAAGACATATATGTGGCCAACAAACATGAAAAAAAGCTCATCATCACTGGTCATTAGAGAAATGCAAATCAAAACCACAGTGAGGTACCACCTCATGCCAGTTAGAATGGCGATCATTAAAAAGTTAGGAAACTACAGATACTGGAGAGGATATGGAGAAATAGGAATGCTTTTATACTGTTCTTGGGAGTGAAAATTAGTTCAACCATTGTAGAAGACAGTGCAGCAATTCCTCAAGGATCTAGAACCAGCAATACCATTTGACCCAGCATTCCCATTACTGGGTATATACCCAAAGGATTATAAATCATTCTAATATAAAGACACAAGCACACGTATGTTTATTGCAGCACTGTTTACAATAGCAAAGACTTGGAACCAACCCAAATGCCCATCAATGATAGTCTGGATAAAGAAAATGTGGCACATATAACCCATGGAATATTATGCAGCCATAAAAAAAAGGATGAGTTCATGTCCTTTGCAGGGACATGGATGAAGCTGGAAATCATCGTTCACAGCAAACTAACACAGGAACAGAAAACCAAACACTGCATGTCCTCACTCATAACTGGGAGTTGAAAAATAAAAACATATGGACACAGGGAGGGGAGCATCACACACTGTGGTCTTTTAGGGGGTGGGGGGCCAGGGGAGGGATAGCATTAGGAGAAATACCTAATGTAGATGACAGGTTGATGGGTGCATCAATCACCATGGCACGTGTATACCTATGTAACAAACCTCCACGTCTACACATGTATCTCAGAACTTAAAATATATAATATATAATATATATGTATAAAGTATATATATAAAGTATATATAAAGTATATATACATATATAAAGTATATATAAAGTATATACATATATAAAGTATATATATATAAAGTGTGTATATACACACACACACACATATATATAGGAATTGCTCCTAACCAGAGTAATCAGGCAAGAGAAAGAAAAAAATGGCATGTAAATAGGAAGAAAGAAAGGCAAACTATCTGTTTGCAGACCACATGATACTATATCTAGAAAACCCCATTGCCTCAGCATAAAAGCTCCTTCAGCTGATACACAACTTCAGCAAAGTTTCAGAATACAAATCCATATACAAAAATCACTAGCATTACTATACACCAACAGCCAAGCCAAGAGCCAAATTAGAAAGGCAATCCTTTTCTAATTTGGGAATTACAATTGCCACAGAAAGGATAGAATACTTAGGGGTACAGCTAACCAGGTAGGTGAAAGATCTCTACAATGAGAATTACAAAGAAATCAGATCCGTGCTTAAAGAAATCAGAGAAGACACAAACAAATGGAATAACATCCCATGCTCGTGGATAGGAAGAATCAATATTATTAAAATGGCCATACTGCCCAAAGCAATTTACATATTCAATGATATTCCTATCAAAATACCAACAACATTCTTTGCAGAACTAGGAAAATCTATTTTAAATTTCATATGGAACAAAAACAAAGCCCGAATAGCAAAGGCAATCCAAAGCAAAAAGAACAAAGCTAGAGGCATCACCCAACTTTAAACTACACTACAGAACTATGGTAACCAAACAGCATTGTACTGGTACAAAAACAGGTACATAGACCAATGGAACAGAATAGAGAGCCCAGAAATAAGAATGCACACCTATGACCAGTTGATCTTCAACAAAACTGACAAAAACAAAGGGGAAAAGACTCCCTATTCCATCAAACATGCTGGGATAACTAGCTAATATCCAGCTTCTATGAGGAACTTAAACAAATTTATGAGAGAAAAACAAACAACCCCATTAAAAAGTGGGCAAAGGACATGAACAGACACTTTTCCAAAGAACACATACATGTGGCCAGTAAGCATATGAAAAAAAAAAAAAGCTCAATATCACTGGTCATCAGAGAAATGCAAATCAAATCCAGAATGAGATACCATCTCACACCAGTCAGAATGGCTATTATTAAAACGTAAAAAAATAACAGATGCTGGCAAGGTTGCAGAGAAAAGGGAACACTTATATGCTGTTGATGGGAGTATAAATTGGTTAAGCCAATGTGGAAAACAGTATGGCTATTCCTCAAAGAGCTAAAAGCAAAACTACCATTCAACCCAGCAATCCCATTACTGGGTATACACCCAGAAGAATAGAAATCATTTTACTGTAAAGACACATGTGGCCAGGTGCGGCAGCTCTCAGCTATAATCCAAGCACTTTGAGACCAGCGTGGGCAACATGGCCAAACCGCATTTCTACCAAAAATACAAAAATTAGCCGGGTGTGGTGGTGCATGCCTGTGGTCCCAGCTACCAGGGAAGCTGAGATGGGAGGATCACCCGAGACTGGGGAGGTCAAGACTGCAGTGAGCCATGATTGTGCCACTGCGCCGCAGCCTGGGCGAGAGAGTGACATCCTGTCTCAAAAAAAAAAAAAAAAGGATACAGCACATGTGCAGGTAAATGTTCATCACAGCACTATCCAGAAAAGCAAGACATGGAATCAACCTAAATGCCTACCAATGACAAATTAGATTTTAAAAATGTGGTATATACAGCTATAAAAAAAAGATCATGTATTTTGTGGGAGCATGGATGGAGCTAGAGGCCATTATCCTTAGCTAACTAATGCAGGAACAAATAAATAAATACCACATGTTCTCACTTATAAGTGGGAGCTAAATTATGAGAACTCATAAACACAAAGAAGGAAAAAACAGAAACAGATTTTCTTGAGGGTGGAAGGTGGGAGAAGGGGTAGGAGGGGAAAAAGATAACTATTGGATACTGAGCATAATACATGGGTGATGAAATAATCTGTACAACAAACCCCTGTGACACAGTTTCCCTTCTGTAACAAACCTTCACACGTACCCCTGAACCTAAAATAAAGTTTTTATTAGAAAAAAAAAAGTCGAAGTCAGCAGAAATGCTTGGGTTTAAGATAGGGGGAGTTGTGGAAGCCAAGGTTCTTGTTATGTAAATAAAGTCTTCAGGTGGCAGGCTTCAGAAAAAATTAAGTAGTAAATGTCTCTTATGAGATCTTAAAAAGTGTCAGACTATTAGTTAAATCTCTCCTGGATCTGGAAAAGACCTGGAAAGGGTAGCGAATTCTATACAGAATGTAGATTTTCCCCACAAGAAACAATAATATAGGTGTTATAAACAAATTATTTAGGCAGATAGTGAGGGTAAGGAAATCCTTCCTGGGTAAGGTTTTCCTTTTAATAAAAAGCAGCCCCCAAATCATTTTTTCTAACAAAGAGCAGCCTGTATAGAATCTAGCTGCAGACATAGACAAGCAAACAGGAAGTTTGCATTGATCAATGCTGGCAGTTGTGCTAATAGAAAAAGGCTACCTGGGATTAAGCATGATCAAAATGGTGGCTCCATCTTCCCTTCTCTTTGTCAGCCACGTGTAGAATAAGGAGCAGACAAGATGGTGCTGGCCATAAGATTAAGGTGGGTCAACCAGACTTCCCTGCGGGCTATGTAAATGTCACACCTGGTAGAACCAATCTGTGACCCTGTGTAAATCAGACACCGGCTCCTCCTCAAGCTTGCCTATAAAATCTGCTGTGGTCTGCCGCAAGCCAGTTGTTTCCCTTTCAAAAACTTCTTTCTCACGAGGGAGAGAGAGAGAGAGAGCTGCTTGCCTCTCTCCTTTCTTCTGCCTGTTAAACTCTCTGCTCCTTAACACACCCACATGTGTCCGTGTCCTTAATCTTCTTAGTGCAAGACGATGAACCCTGGGTATTTACCCCAGACAACGATGCCACTTCAACAGCTTTTCAAAGGCATTCCAAAAGGTGTCAAAGAAATCTATTTTGGGGTAAAATACTTTGATTTCTTTCAGGACTGGCTATCTATCATGTGATGCTATACTAGAGTCAGGTTGCAATTTGGTATGTTATTGCTATAAGGAATCTGTTTTGTCAGTCTTAATTAAGATCTCTGTTTTAAAGTTAATAATGCTGGTAAGTTATGCCTGAATTCCAAAGGGAGGAGAGTATGTCCCTGCAAAGCTGCTTCTGGTGGGGGAAATTTACATTCTGTAGCGAATCGCCTTTGCTTTCCAGGTCTTTTTCTGATCCTGAAGAGTTTAGTTGAGAGTCCAGTACCTTTTAAAGGTCTGAATACAAAATATTTCCCATCTATTGCTTGTAAGGGTGACCACTTATGAGACTTCATCTACATAATAAGAACCTTGTTCTCTACAATCCCTTATTTTAATCCAGACACTCCTTTCTATTGATTCTAGGCATTTAAATAGTAACAAGTTTTTCAACCAATTGCCAATAAGAAAATCTTTGAATTTACCTTTGATGTGGAAGGCCCCACTTTGAGTTGTTCCACCTTTCATGACTGAACCAACACAGACCCCACATGTATTGACTGATTTTTTACATGCTCCTAAAATGTAAATCAAGTTGTAATTCAATCACCTTGGGCACTTGTTCTCAGGATGTCTTGAGACTGCGCCTCAGGCCGTCAATTACTCACATTTGGCTCAGAATAAAACTCTTTAAATATTTCATGGAGTTTGACTCTTTTTTGTTGACAATTTTTTCTTCAAGAGTGTCTCAGAATTAATGATACTTGATATTCTATATACAACTTGGTATTCTATATACATTTTAGAATAATCTTAGAAAATTTTACAAATAGTCTGAATTTTGATTGAGTTAGCACTGAATATAGAGATCAAAGATATAATTAATATCTATACAATTTTGAATCATCTATGAATAGTTGTAATCACTTTGAATTTTCTACATACATAATCATATATATAATAATGAAATTTTATTTCTTCTACTGCAATCTTGCTTGTTCCTTGTCTTATCCTATTATACTGGCTAAAGTCTCTACAACAAAGTAGTTTGAATGGAAATGGAAATAGAAGGTGTCCTTGTCTTTTCCTCAATTTCAAAGAGAAAATTTTCAACATATTCATAATGCTTGCTGAAAGGGTTTTCGGATCCTGTTTAACAGATTAGGATCTATCATTCTTTTCATAGCTTACTAAGTCATTTTTATTATTTTTATATATTTTGAGACTCATCAAATACTTGATTTTTTATCTGATGATATGATTATAAAATGTTGTTTCTTTATTGTGTTATTTTGCTAACACAATGAAAAAATGAATTTCATTTTTTTCTGGAATAAATTTACTTTCAGCAGTGTGTAGAATATTTTAAATAATTGAATTAATTGGTAATATTTTCAAATCTATGTTAATTCATGGGACTATCATGCAATTTTAAAATTTTGTTTTGTTGCCAAAGTTATACTTGACTAAAATAGTATTTGAAACTTGCCTTCTATTTTTTAAACCTCTGGCATATATAAAAATTTCCTACAAATGAATTTGGAAAAAGTCAAGGACTTGAATGGATACTACACAAAAGATTTCTCAATGACTATAAATATAAGAGAAACTGGTCAACTTCATTAGTTAGTAGGTGAGTACAAATTAAAATCATAATGATATATTCATGATATATCACCAGAATGGCTAAAATTAAGAGGACAGAAAACACTGTTAGTATAGATTTGGAGCAACTGTAATTCTCACCATACTGTGGAGTTTAAGTTTGTGCAACCAACTTCCAGAATTGGTGGTATCTACCAAAGCTGAATATATGCATACCTCAAACCTAAGCAATTTCTCCACAGTATCGTCCCTGCCAAAATGCTTACATTTCTTACCAAACACATATACTAAAGTGACTGCAGCAGCAATATTCACAAAAGACAAAAATCATAAGCACCCAAATGTCTAGCCTATCAGTACTACAAAGGATAAAATAGTTGTGGCATATTTATACAATGAAATACAATGCAGTAAAAATATAGTGCTGTATTGGTATATGCAACCACATAAATGAATCTCCCAAAGATAACATTGAATAAATATAAGCAGAAACAAAAGAAATAATGCTGTATGATTTTGTTTATATATAGTTCAAAAAAATCATAATAATGGTTACAAGGGGCAGGTATAAGTAGCATAAGGAAATGAAATTGAGAGTCATTCTAGAATGTTTCTTACATTGTTTTCTTGATCAAAATTTGTTCACTTTGTAATAATTAAGTTGCACCTTCATGAACTATTTTATATAAACTTTTTTTTTTTTGCCTTCAGCAAACATTTTTTTTTCTTTTTTTCTTTTTTTTATTATACTTTAAGTTCTAGGGTGCATGTGCACATTGTGCAGGTTAGTTACATATGTATACATGTGCCATGCTGGTGCGCTGCACCCACTAACTAAACTATTTTTTTAAATGAAAGCTTTCATAAAAATCTAGATTCCATTGAGAATTCAGAATATTTTGCAATCCTGGGGCTCAATGCATAGAAAATTGGTCAACTAGCGCTCAGCAGTTGTTGTTTTCTTCAGATGTGGCATGTGCAGCAAAATGTTCACCACTCTTTTATTACTGCATATAGACCTCAGCTAAATGTTTGTTGACACTTATCATTGCATTTCTACAATTGTTTTTCTTATACCTTATCCACTCAGTCATTCATATCACCTGCTTGTACTTGAATATGCATTAGATTTTTCTTGGACCCTAAAATATTTATAGAATTTGCCTTAAACAAATAGAGGTTCACTTCCTCTATTGAGACCTGAAAAAAAATCATAAAGGAAGAGTATGAATGTATATACATTTATAGGTGACAGACAGGAAGTTAATGGAATTTCCCCCTGGGCCCTCTGTTTTGTCTTGGAAGTCAGGGCAAGATAACCTGCTTGGAGAGCTGTGGGACACTGGATTGGAGGATTTAAGAATTTGTTGAACATTTGCTATGGTGATGCAAGAGACAAACAGGATACACACAGAATGACCTCTGGACAGAAGAGAGCCCATTGGAAGTTGAGAAAGACCAGGGGTGTTTAAGGGCGCCGTTCAAAACATTTATATATTTATCTCCAGCAACAGTCAAGTGCCTATTAGATATGAGGGAAAAGGCCCTGTTGGAAGGCTGCAGGCCTGCCGTTTTTGTCTCAGTAGAGGTGAGGTAAAGGCAAGGTGCCCCAAAATTTAAAGTTATTAAGAAGAGAATTTAAAGTTATGAGTCAACAGGATAAATTAATTATATGTACTTGCATATATAAAATACTAGATTTTTGATAGAAACTTAACAGCAGAAATGAGAAAATTGAACGTTGGGAGGCTATGAGGGCAGAAGTTAAATATCTTTGTGGTTTTGCCTAGATTTACACAATATTGAAAGATCAGAGAGTCAAAATTATTTCTTTCAGAATAATCTCCTGGGACATTTCATCTTTGGATACTACAGAGCCTGATATTAATTGCATGTTGGGAGAACTGTGTCCCTGGGATCTTTTTGGATTCAGTGTCCTGCGTCCTTGCCAGTGTCTCCTGATTTGCTGATCTTCAGTGATCTCCAATCTCAAATAACAGCCCCGACAACCAATACATGAGCCTTAGACACTGAGTTGTCACTTGAAGGTAATAATGGTTTGAACTCTATGGCTTAAGCTTCCTTTCTGTATTAAAATATGATTATTAGTGTGAAAAAAATGTGGAAAACTTTTTTTCTTGTAACATATTTATTTCTTTTTATGCTTTGATTTTATTTCTATACCATGCCCATGATTCTTAACTTTTAATGGCGAACTGGTTTAAAGTGATGTTCATCTGGGTGAGGGGAGATTATATAGTGCACATGTTAAATTTTGCATCATGGTAAAATAAAATTCTTCTACAAGCCTAAAACAAACATATTCCTACAAATAAGGAGCTGGTTCATGACTGTGAATTGATCTCTCATCGCGTTTCTTTGGAGGTATTGTGTGTGAGTGTGTGTTAAAAATACAGGAGAAGTCTCCTTTGATTGGGATGGGTAAATTGACAATGAGCAGGCTGCATTAAACAGATTAGAACAAGAGTGATGTGTGTCTGGCTTTATTTTATTCCTTTGATACAAGTAAAACGAGTACAATTTAGTGTAGCTAAATGGGTGGGAATTAACATAAATGAGAGAATCGGAAGACTTACGCATGTATGTATGTTTTTATGGGTATGTATGTGTATAACTGTGAGTGAAATTATTAGAACTATATATATTTAGTATACGTTATATTGAATATATTACATGTAGCATATTTATAAACTGGTTTATTCCTTAAGGGTCCTTTCATGTTCTCTTTTTACTATTGTGCTCTCCTCCCCCTATTTTGAGGGATCACTCAGTGTCTTCATCCTTTTATGGGGTACCCATGCCTCCTCTGACTTTTCCTGTGACTTCTTTTCATTTCCATTGAGTACTGCTAAGTACAATTTTTAGATGATAAGTGAAATAAATATTAAAAAAGCAGTGAAAATTACCTTATATATTTTACTTTAATGACTAATTTTCAGAACAAATATTAATGCAATTTCAGGATATACAGTTATTGTAGGGGAAGAATTTTAGGCTGGAGTAATTTTTCCTGATGCCACGTGGAAAGTGCCTATTTGTCCTATATATGAGGTAAAGTCGTGAAATTTGGGTATATACTTTGTATCTGTGAATATATTTTAAACTTCTGCATTTATAAGTGTTTGGACTTTTAAAAAGCTGATTAAAAATTTTGATCTTTTCATCTTCTAGAAGATAAACATTCTATGTTGGTTTGATGCCTCTTAGTCTCACTAAAGAGCCCTTCTTACCCTGATCACCACTCTTTCCATTCAGATTCAACTACCTCTTCATTCAACACACAAGACCAGAGAGCTAACTCCCTTCCCTAACACCACACACCAAAGAAGAGAAGGAGAACTTTGCAAATCAGGACTATCATAGATGAATCCAGCTTATAGGCCAGAAGGTAAACTAGATGACTAAACATGAGGTGTGCTGCATAATGCTTGCATAAGAATATCTTTGCTGAATAAACTGCATGAGTTTACGTCATCAGTATGCTGGTGGACTAAATGAGTTAACGAATCCCTAAAGAAAATAAGTCATTGAAAGTATGTGTCCATATAATTAAACATTAAGTTATAAATGTTAATATTATTACTTTCAATAGCCAAATGTTTGCCATTTTATAGGAAAAATAACCTCTATAATCTCCAGAAGCGAGCTACCATTCATATAAAGAAAAACCTTAAAAAATGCCCAACTCAGAATTTACAATTGAAGAATGGAAATGCTATTTATATTAATTATTTGCATATATTAACCATTACTGAGTTTTTTCACTGAATTTGAACAATTTGTCCTGAGTTATAAATTAATTGAATGTACTTTATTCCTTTGACATTTTCTTTCTTTCTGCCTTTATTTTTTCTGTGATACACTTTATCTCAGCTTCTAATAGTTATCAGTCAGGAAAATACTGCTTCCACAATAGCCTTCATGTATCTCTCTGTATTATGTATTTTCTTTAAGGTCTTCTTTTGTGATTTCTATATCAAAATTTATTCCATGGGTCACTGTAACATCTCTGAGTCAGTGTTTTGATTAGAGATTAATCAAAACTTTTTAAAGATTGATATTTTGCCCAATGGCCAACACATTATCCTCCCTGAATTCTTGTAATGTGTTTCTCCTAGTTCTGAACAGGGTGATGGGCATGACCAACAGCAGTGTCAAGGGAGACTTCATCCTGGTGGGTTTCTCTCATCAGCCCCACCTGGAAAAGATCCTCTTTGTGGCTGTTTTGATATCCTATCTCCTTACCCTTGTGGGAAATACAGTAATTATTCTGATCTGCTCTGTAGACCCTAAACTCAAGACACCCATGTATTTTTTCTTACTCACCTCTCCTTAGTTGATATCTGTTTTACCACCAGTATTGTCCCCCAGCTGCTGTGGAACCTAAAAGGACCTGACAAAACAATCACATTCCTGGGTTGTGTCATCCAGCTCTACATCTCCCTGGCATTGGGCTCCACTGAGTGTGTCCTCCTGGCTGTAATGGCTTTTGATCGCTATGCTGCAGTTTGCAAACCTCTCCACTATACCGCCGTAATGAACCCTCAGCTGTGCCAGGCTCTGGCAGGGGTTGCGTGGCTGAGTGGAGTGGGAAACACTCTTATCCAGGGCACTGTCACCCTCTGGCTTCCTCGCTGTGGACACCGATTGCTCCAACATTTCTTCGTGAGGTACCCTCCATGATTAAGCTTGCATGTGTGGACATCCATGATAATGAGGTTCAGCTCTTTGTTGCTTCACTGGTCTTGCTCCTCTTGCCCTTAGTGCTAATACTGCTGTCCTATGGACATATAGCCAAGGTGGTCATAAGGATCAAGTCAGTCCAGGCCTGGTGCAAAGGCCTGGGGACATGTGGATCCCATTTGATAGTAGTGTCCCTCTTCTGTGGGACCATCACAGCTGTCTACATCCAGTCCAACAGTTCTTATGCCCATGCTCATGGGAAGTTCATCTCCCTCTTCTATACAGTTGTGACCCCGACCCTCAATCCTCTCATCTACACACTGAGGAATAATGACGTGAAAGGAGCACTGCGATTATTTAACAGAGACTTAGGCACATAAAAAATGAAGCAGAGTACACAGCGCTCAACTTTTTTCACAAAGCAACTTTAAAGGTCATCTTGTATAATTTTTCACTCAAGAACTTTGCCAGTCTGTAAAGGAAGAGATGTAATCTTCTCCATCTGCATTACTGTATTTCACTTGGCCTCAGAGCTTTCTATCCTCTCCAATCTCTTTCCAGACTTCTTTTGAGCCCATGTAAGGCAATATTCCCCCATGCCTTTTAGATCTCCATGAGTCACATCATTTCTGTTTCTCGCTCTCCCCGGCTTCCTGTGCTTTTCTTTAGCCTTCCTTCCTTTCTTGCTTTTTTCCTTCCCTTCCTTCCGTTTCCACCTTTTATTTATTCATTAAAAAAAGACATATAAGCCCTCAAACACAATTTTGGTATACAAGGTCTTGTTTATTATATAATAGTCATTGTTTTGGATCAACTCAGAGAAAAGTATAGAGCCCTTCTTGAATTACTTAAAACTTAACTATAAATTAGGGCATGCTTTATTTAAATATACTCAAGCACTGAAAAGGAATAGGTATCTGTGTTCTAGAGCAGGCTGTGGCAAACTGGGGGAACAGGCCAAATCACTCATTCTAACACTTGATAACATGATTTTTTATTTCAGTTATTCACAAGAAGGGACATTCACCAGCAGTTAGTAATTAATGATATCTTTTCCATCTTCAATTAAACAGAGAGTTCACAGAATTCCATCTGGGGCCTGCTTTGAAACTATGCACACTTGGCAAAAGGAAAAGAGCTCAGATCCAAACAGGACATGGGTACCAGTGTTTTATAAATCAAAATTTCTCACCCTTAGCCCTATGGACATTTTGGAACAGATAATTTTCTGTTGTCAGGGTCTCTCTTCTGCATTTTAGGATGCTCAGCAGTATCTTTGGCCTCTGTGCACTAGATGCTAGTAGCATCTCCTTTCCCCCCAAGTTGTGACAAGCAAAAATACCTCCAGACATTGTCAAATATGCCCTAGGAAGCAAAAATGCTCCTGGCATAGAAGCACTGCCATAAATCAGGGCATATTGCTATATCAAGAGGCATGTTTTATTACATGGGAGTAAGCCTACAGGGTCAGAGTGAGACTAGCAGCAGTCATTCTAGTGCACAAAGCATAGGTGTGCACATAGAAACACAAAAGCACAGGAACATATACAAACATATTTGATAAAATGTTTTTAGTGTCCTTTTGTTTCATTATGTATGGTTTTAAATTTTCATTTTTATAATAAGAGAAAAGGCCATTTTGACATATGTTGAACTATCTTTTTCAGAGCAATGTTATTTCATTAAAAATTTTTTTGAAGGGAAGATTTTACTTTAATTTTATATTATTAAATAGTGAGGCATGAGGTAAAATCGGTGGAAATGAGAACGTGAAGTAAATGCTCAGTGATTCCAATTGCATTCACCTCTCCAACATGGCATCTGCTGTTTAGGGAGGCGGGGTTATCCAGCTTCTGGATCTGGGTGTGGGCATGGGATAGTCAGATGGGAATGGCACCAGTTGGAGGAACATGGGTAAGAGAGGGTGAAAGGTAAAGTGCTATCTCTGAGGTAGGTTAGGGTCTGACATCTGGAAAGTTGGGGAAGGAAGGAGCCCTAAGGAGATATAGCCTAGGGCTTTTCCAGCTACTTTGACAGCCATTTGTTCTGTTACGAGATCCCGATGTCACTTGAACAAGACCCTCAGTGGGCCTCATCTTGGCTCCATTACTTTCTGAAAGCTTTTTCTTCATCTTCCGTTTTTTCTTGGGTTCAACACCAGATGGTGCCAGCAGACCATAATGTATCCAGCAAATTCTTCCTGTCATATCCAGCCTCGTCTGCCTTACCCAAAGCTTCATGGGCTTTTTCGGTGAAATTTCTCCTAATTCCCTTCCTCTGCCTAATCCTCCTATTTCTCTGTTGAAAACAATAGCAATGTCTTCCCTACCATAAAAATCCTTGTGTGCCTTTATAATCCAAACACACTAGATAACTGTACAATGACAATACTTGTCATTTGTCCTGTGACTATGCCTTAATATGTTAAAATTTATTTCTTTATACATAAAAATGTATTTCAAGTATAAATAACTGGTTCTGAGTTTGCCATTTTATATAATTTGGAGAGTTCCTGAAGTCAAGAATTTAGAACCATGGAACTCTACACTGAAAAGCCACCAGCCAGGGCCAGCACATACCCAGAAGTTATTGTTTTGGGAATGGTCTGTCAATTTGGGGTCCGGGGTTTAGTGGATGTGCATGTGGAAGAAGGAGAAAGAGAAAACAGTTTTTGAATAGCTAGAGCGTTCTGTGATTGAGCAAAATAACAGTGTGTTTGCTGGGCCTTTTACCTTAAGACCTTAGTGAGTTTCTTAGCCTAGATTCTCTAAAAATCAGAGCTTGAGGCAAAAAAGGAAATATTAATGTTTTATTTGGGAATGCAAATAGAGGGCAGCAAAGGTGAGAAAAAAAGGGAACTGAGAGAAGGGAAATATGAAGCAAGGTGAGGTGATACATTTTCACACTGGCTACCACTTCCTGAGAAATTTTAGAAGGCTGCCTCACGGATGCTTTAATCTGCTCTCGCCACTCTCCTTCAGACAAGATAGGAGGAGGAATCTTGCTTTGGGTGAAAGAAAAAAAAAAGAAAGTATTAAAGTATATCAAAGAAGAAGGAGCTGTGTCAAAGGCTGTTAGTATAGTAGGTCAAGTGAGATGAAGATTAAGAACTGACCATTGGATTTAGCAATAAGGAAGTCATCTGTGACACTAAGGGAGGAGTTTTGCTAGAGAAAAAGAAGGCAACAGCCACACTGGAATGGAAGCAAGAGAGAACAGTGGGAGACAACTTAGAGACAGAAAGCATAGAAAACTCATGAATAGTGCTTTGCTGAAGGCAGGAAGAAATGATTCAATAGCTGTAGGGAAAGGGAGGTCAAGAGAAGGCAGAAAGAGTTTTTTTCTGTAAGATGGATGTAATGGCAGCATGCTTGTATTCTATGGTAATGACCTATAGAGTATGCAAAATTACACAGCAGGAGAGTGAGGGTGAACTCAGAAACAAAGTCTTTAGGTCGGTGAGGGGATGGATCCAGGGCAGCAGAGGATTGATCAGCCTTTGCTAGAGCACAAACAGTTCATCAATAGGAACCAGACAGAAAGTAGAATACATGGATATAGAAGCAGGTGGGTGTGTTGAGGTAGTATTGAAATCTGACAGAAATTCCTTTCTGATTTCTCCAATTTTCTCTGAAGTTTTGAAAAGCAGAGGCATCAGTTGGGAGTGAAGAAAAGGAAAGGATGTGCGCTTGGATAGAGCAGAGAAGGTGTGAACAGACACCTGGGAAGAGGGAAAGTACAGAAATTATGAAATATAGAAAACTAACGATTTTCTTTTCTGGATTTTCTTTTTGTTTTGTTGCATTTCGTTTTTTTTCAAAGGTTTATCTGGTGATATGTTATGATCCTGGGGGAGGAAGAGCTGAGCTCTACATTTGGCTCAGTCTATCATGGTGTTTCCCCGTGGGTCTCTTTTTTTCCCACTATATCTCTAACTATTTTATCATTTTCATCAAATGACTTCTTAAATCAATTGAAATAGTCATTTATAAAAGTCATTTGTATATAAACATTCCATTGTTTTCATACTTGTGTTTTAACTATAGTAAATACAGCACTTGATATACAGAAATTTAGTTCCAAATGTCTTTGATTGTTCAACTGCCTTTATAAATCTCCCAGTATAACTTATTTAAAAAACAGAATATTGTACATGTACTATCTAGAAATTAAAATTATTTCTCTTCCCCAACATTTAAGTAATATATATTTAGAAAACACCATCCTAAGAGTTTTAATTCTATTAAGCTTCAATTTGAACTCCTGTATAACAATTTAACAGCAACGAAACTAGAATAGAGAGAATTTTTAATTACTTTAGGACAACAATGATATGGCTATTTTTCCTGGATGTTAAAAGTAGGTTCAGGGCCAGTTGCGGTGGCTCATATCTGTAATCCCAGCACTTGGGAGGCAGAGGCAGGAAGATCGCTTGAGCCCAGGAGTTCAAGACTAGCCTGGGCAAAATAGCAAGACTCCATCTCTACAAAAACATTAAAAAATAATAATAATAAGCAGGTCTATTTGAAGGTAGAATCAATGAGGAAGGTTATCTTCTTCTACTTTAAGATGTATAAATATGTAAATGATCTGAAGTTTTATTTCATTTTCTTGATATATATCAGTAATTACTTAATCTCTGTCCTGGAGATTTTGAAGCTAATTTTCATACTGTGCATTTTCTGGTCCAAAGATTCTTGATTTATTTTATATGCTTAATATGATTTTAAGTGTTCCTTTTATTCTTTTCAGATAATTCAGACTATATTTTGTTTGTGTCCTCTCCAAAGGTTTTACAAAAGCATAAATCAGATTATTGAGAGCTATCTAAGTAATATACATGTTCTGATTTGTTTATTACATCCACTCTAACATACCTGCATCTGTTTTATCTTCTCCAAGTGTCAGAGATTTGCTCTGACTTTTCTTGTTCTTTGGAACTTGTTCTAGGTGTTCTCAGTTCTGACTCACTCTAAGTTATTTCTGTTTATTGAGATATTTTCAATATGTTTATTTCTGTTGGCTTAATCTTTTATTTCATCCTTCAGTTTTTTGTAAAAGCTATTTTGGGTTTTCCCGAAGATGGACGTCTTCATCCAAACTCTACTTTATTGCTATGGCAAGTCTTCATTCATGTGATATAGTTTTAAAGTTATTTTGGCTTTATCCATTTGGTACTGATGGACTTTGACATATCTTCTAGTGACTGAATCCTTGTTTTAATGTCAGACACAAGTCATTATGAACATTTAGATACCTTTTTCTTCCATTTGTTTTCTAATGAGTCCAGTTTAAACTCAAAGAGTTAGATCTTTCAAGTTTTTAATTAACTAATTGCCTTTAAATTTGGAGTTCTTGATAAATTGTTCTCAAGACTAGACTCAATAAGAAAAAAATCTGTAACTCTTCCTATACTTTAAAAATCAGTTTAACCTAACCAAAATCTTCACTTTTTTTCTACCTAGAACAGAACTTCTTATGGAAAATACATTAATCCCTATTTGGATAAAGTCAGCTTTTAACTATTAAAAAAATTCAGATATAGCTGCACTTACCGCCATCTCCCATGTTAAGCCAGAGAGATCTGCTGTGAGTCTCATGTCTCCTGGTAACAGACATGGCCTCACTCAGCTTCTCCAGAATTCGTATAAAGTAAAACTTTATAGCAGTAGGCAGGTACTCTGTAACACCAGCTCTGCCTCAGGTTGCCAGGACCCTCCTATTCTACAACACACTGTAGAGAACACTGTGGAGTATTCTGCTCAGAACCTAAACCAGTGCCTGGCAACCAAGAGAGACCAGCAGTGTGCGTGGCGATAGGGGAGAACAGGCAGTGCTTCCAAAACATTTTCATTTCATAGCACACTTTAAGTTAGATGTACAAGGCTGACTTTCACCAGGGAAGATTGGCCACTGGGACTTTGTTCATCCAAGGCCACATCCATCAATCCCAAAATCTGGGAGGATAGATGTATTTTTACACATGTGCTATTCGGGAATCACTGACAAAGACTGTCAAATGAAAATGATGTGACTCAAAGGCTAAAGACTTTATTCAGGTGATGAGCATTGAGATCTCCTTACTGAAGTCAGATCAGAGTTTTTACAGGATAGAGGAAGTGGAGTACACATCCTCGTTACCTTGTTTTGGCTAAGGCAACAGCTTTCTATTTTAAAATCTCAGTTGGGGGCTTATACCTGCTTTCATGCCCCTTTCATGTCAATAATCATCAGAAAAGTATTTTTTGAGAATGATTTTTGCAAGCCTTGAGGTTTGTTAGTTAGTCAAGGTTCATGGGGTGGGGAGAGAGAGAGGAAGAAAGAAAGGAAAAGAGAGAGGAAGGGAGGAAAGAAAGAAAGAAAGAAGGAAAAAAGAATAAAAGAATAGGAAAGAATAAGAAAAGAGGACAAAGGTAGAAAGCAATGGGGAAACTGGAAACTTCTGTCTTGTTTGTTTTCATTGTTTTACAGAGTTTACATGCTCTCCTTCATGGTCAATATTTTCTTAATGTAAATATTTTTTTAGACCCATAAGGTTCTAATACTCCAAAAAAGTTAAACAAAGCCCTCCTTTTGGCAACCTATCCCTTTTTGTGTTTGGTCAGATCTCAAGTGTAGAAGAAGGAGAATGAAGGGTCTCATAATCAACTTACCACCTTGAATTTCAAATGTAACAACTCAAGGAATCAAAGGGGAACTTGAAAATCCTTCAAATATAAAAGATTTATAATCATGCTATAAATAACACCCAGCCCCTTACTCAGTCACTGTTCTTCATGTTTCCCAATTCTCAAGCAAAACGCAAAAACTTTCTATTCCCTGGCAGAGAGAGGAATAGAATACCATAATCAAACAGGCAGTTAATAATGAGTTGCTATAACAGAAGTTGCCATCCCTTGTTCTTCTCTATTTGTGAACATTCATGAGAACGGCTATTCCTATTCCATACAGTTCCAGTGAGTTCTTGACCATGAAACTGATCACAAGGGTGAACAAGTGATCCAATTTCAACAAGTCAGTTTTTCTTAGTGCTTTGAATCTTCAACAGATGGTATTGTCCAAATGGGGTTACCTGTTACTTCCAATCTGAATTCCCCAGGCCTACCCTGATTCATTTTACTCCAGTAACCTGATGGTCCTACTGGTTCTTTCATTTGGTGGGGTACTCACTGTATCTTTCCAAAATTTATTTTTCTTTTTTTAATTATAAAATTTTATCTTCTCCAATTGATTTTTCTTTTTTTTAAATTATTATTATACTTTTAGTTTTAGGGTACATGTGCACAATGTGCAGGTTTGTTACATATGTATACATGTGCCATGCTGGTGTGCTGCACCCATTAACTGTCATTTAGCATTAGGTATATCTACTAATGCTATCCCTCCCTTCTCCCCCCACCTCACAACAGTCCCTGGTGTGTGATCTTCCCCTTCCTGTGTCCATGTATTCTCATTGTTCAATTCTCACCTATGAGTGAGAACATGCAGTGTTTGGTTTTTTGTCCTTGCGATAGTTTGCTGAGAATGATGGTTTCCAGTTTCATCCATGTCCCTACAAAGGACATGAACTCATCATTTTTTATGGCTGCATAGTATCCCATGGTGTATATGTGCCACATTTTCTTAATCCAGTCTATCATTGTTGGACATTTGGGTTGGTTCCAAGTCTTTGCTATTGTTAATAGTGCCACAATAAACATACGTGTGCATGTGTCTTTATAGCAGCATGTTTTGTAATCCTTTGGGTATATACCCAGTAATGGGATGGCTGGGTCAAATGGTATTTCTAGTTCTAGATCCCTGAGGAATCGCCACACTGACTTCCACAATGGTTGAACCAAAATTTATTTTTCTTAAGATGGCCAGAGGTATTTTCTGTTTTTTACAACCAAAGGACCCTGATACATCTACCACATGTACACGATCATTTTTGAAGTATCAAAAACCAATACATTGAACCCTCTTAAAAACAGTAAAATATTTATGAATGCAGAAAACCTTCTGAGATTCTGATGTTCAGAATTATGAACCTAGTATTGGATGCTAAATAGAACTGTTTTAATAGTGGTAAGAATTGGAATATTATGGATTATCTGAGCTCCTCCTTGTCATAGAGGTGGATCCTGAGTTTTTGGGGACACAGAACTTGTTCACTTTGGTTAGATATCACATAAATTCTAAAGCTCAATCTTTTTGGAAAAATCTGGACACATTTGAGAAAAAGAATACGTCAAGGCATTTTCAGTTCTATACACTTCATTCTCTTACTTTCTTTGTTGAGTCAGGAGAGGACGCTCACTAATACGCAGAGACAAGGGCAGACAGCAAGATCTAGTAGAGGGTAAGAAACAAAAGATACTGCTTCAGGTCCAATGCCCTATGCTCCTTTATTTCCTTAAAGGCACAGGGAGGTCTAGTGCTGGAAAGAGACCCAGAGAGATATATAGATACTGCTACAATAACAGTAATGGAGAGAAACAAAGCAGTAGAGAGACAAAAAGAGACAGAGAAGCAGAGAAACAAAGAGAAACAGATGAAGAGCTTATAGATAAAGGCTGTATGGATAAAGAGCATATGGATAAAATCTGTTTCTCTGCAGAGAAACAGATTTAGAGACATAGGGAGAGAATCTCAGAGAAAGACAAGAGAGTCTCTCCTGCTTAAATAGCTGCAGTGCTCCTCTGTTACTGTTAAAGTCCAAATACAACCCACAAGACCACACCAACCTCTCTAGGCTGTTAATAATACTGTTCCCCCGATTGCCACCCTATAGTCAAACCAGTTTCTTAGAGTCTCTAAGTCACCACTGCCTTCCACATATTTTCTTGCATACACTAAGAGATCAATAAAAATATTTTGAATGAATGGCATATTATCTTGAAGCTGATGAGAAGGCATTGAAGGATGACTACTTTCTTCTCTCTGCCACAGGCTACAATCTACATGGAATATGCATACTCTGACAGTACAAGCATAGAATCAAAACCCAGGTCTCTGATCCACAGAAAGTTCACTGCTCTGTCTACCCCTAAGTAGAATCCTGCTATCCTTACCCACATCTTCCTCAAAGAGGCCACCCTTCTGCTGCCCACCACCTCTCCCCTCTCTTACCCAATGCAGTCACATCCATGTTCATACAGAAGTTAAGGTGTGTATGTAAGGGGTAAAGGTCAGTAGCCTGGCTGAGAAGCCAGTATGTATCTGTTAAGAAATTAGAAATTAGTTTCCTGTCTATTAATAAATTAGTATCTAAGTTAATTAAGAAATCAGATCTCACCAAGAGTGTAAAAGCTGTTTCCTATTTCTCCAAAGCCTTGCTAGCATCTATTATTTCTTGACTTTTTAATAATGGCCATTCTGACTGGTGTGAGATGTTATCTCATTCTGGTTTTGATTTGCATTTCTCTAATAATCAGTGATGCTCCTTATAGATTCTGGATATTAGACCTTTGTCAGATGGATAGATTGCAAAAATTTTCTCCCATTTTATAGGATGCCTGAGTTCAACCATTGTGTAAGACAGTGTGGCAATTCCTCAAAGACCTAGAACCAGAAATACCATTTGACCCAGCAATCCCATTACTGGGTTTATACCCAAAGGAATATAAATCATTTTATTATAAAGATACATGCACACATATGTACTTTGCAGCACTATTCACAATAGCAAAGGCATGGAATCAACCCCAATGCCTATCAATGATAGACTGGATAAAGAAAATGTGGTACATATACACCACTGAGTACTACACAGCCATGAAAAGGAACAAGATCACATCCTTTGCAGAGACATGGATGGAGCTGGAAGCCATCATTCTCAGCAAACTAACACACGAACAGAAGACCAAACACTGCATGTTCTCACTTATAAGTGGGAGCTGAACAATGAAAACACATGGACACAGGGAGGGGAACCACACACACTGGGACCTGTCGGGGATAGGTGGGAAGAGCATCAGGATAAATAGCTAATGCATGTGGGGCTTAATACCTACGTGGTGGGTTAATAGGTGCAGCAAACCACCATGACATACATTTACCTATGTAACAAACCTGCACGTCCTGCAAATGCATCCCGGAACTTAATATTAAATTAAATTTTAAAAAAAGAAATTAGAGGCTGGGCGTGGTGGCTCATGCCTGTAATCCCAGCACTTTGGGAGGCTGAGGAGGGTAGATCATGAGGTCAGGAGTTCAAGACCAGCCTGGCCAAGATGGTGAAATCCCGTCTCTACTAAAACTACAAAAATTAGCCAGGTGCAGTGGCAGGCACCTCTAATCCCAGCTACTCAGGAGGCTGAGGCAGGAGAATTGCTTGAACCCAGGCAGCAGAGGTTACAGTGAGCTGAGATGGCACCACTGCACTCCAGCCTGACCGACAGAGTGAGATTCCATCTAAAAAAAAAAAAATTAGATCTCCAGAAACAACTCAGTTAGGTCACCTTAGGTGGCTCATGATCTCTTGTGCTGCTACCAATTCTGTCAACTGCTCTTGATCTTAACTACAGACCCAACTCTGCAAATTGCTGGAGAGAAAAGCCTCCTGTCTTCCCAGGATCATTCAAATTTTCTATAATTTAGATACAAATCCAACCCCCAGAGAGCTGGTTCACAAGATCCATAAAGAAATGCAAACTAATTTTTAAAAGAAAAATATATAATCCATTGCTTATTGTAATCTGTAATAGCTAAAATGAAATTAAAAGAGAATGCCAAAGCAGACCTTAATGCTAGAATAAGCTCAGATTTTGATGAGTGTGAACTCAGACCACTAACCTCAAAACCACCCCTCAAGAGAAAAATTATGTTGGGAACAAGATAAATTATCTCTACAACGTCTGATCCAAGAGGGCAGTTAACATGAGAGAAGGTATATTAGTCCATTCTCATGCTGCTAATAAAGACGTACCTGAGACTGGGTAATTTATAAAGGAAAGAAGTTTAATTGACTCACAGTTCCGCAAGGCTGGGGAGGCTTCAGGAAACTTACAATTATGGCAGAAAGGGAAGCAAACATATCCTTCTTCAGATGGCAGCAGAAGAGAGAAAAAGGGCAAAAGGGGAAAAACTCTTTATAAAATCATCAGATCTTGTGAGAACTCACTCACTATCATGAGAACAGCAGCATGGGGAGTAACCACTCCTATGATTCAACCTCTCACTAGGTCCCTACCAAGACACATGGGGATTATGGGAACTACAATTCAAGATTAGATTTAGGTGGAGACAAGGCCAAACCCTATCATTCTGTGCCTGGCCCCTCCCAAGTCTCATGTCCTCACATTTCAAAACACAATTATGCCCTTCCAACAAGTCCCTCAAAGCCTTAACTAATTCCAGCATTAACTCAAAGTCCAAGTCCAAAGTCTCATCTGAGACAAGGCAAGTCCCTTCTGGTTATAAGCCTGTAAAATCAAAAGCAAGTTAGTTACTTCCTAGATACAATGGGAGTACAGCATTGGGTAAATACACCCATTCCAGATGGGAGAAATTGGCCAAAACAAAGGTGTTGCAGGACCCATGCATGTCCGAAATCCAGCAGGGCAGTCAATTCTTAAAGCTCATAAATGATCTCTTTTGACTCCATGTCTCAAATCTAGGTCAAGCTGATGCAAGAGGTGGGCTCCCATGGCCTTGGGCAACTCCATCCTTGTGGCTTTGCTCCCCTCCTGGCTGCTTTCACAGGCTGGCATTGAGTGTCTCCAGCTTTTCCAGGCACACAGTGCAAGCTGTCAGTGGGTCTATCATTCTGGAGTCTGGAGGATGGTGACCCTCTTCTCACAGCTCCACCAGGCAGTGCCCCAGTGGGTACTCTGTGTAAGGGCTCCAACACCACATTTTTCTTCTGCACTGCCCTAGCAGAGATTCTCCATGAGGGCTCTTGCCAACCCAGCAAACTTCTTCCTGGACATCCAGGCACATCAATACATCCTCTGAAATCTAGGCGGAGGTTCTCAAAGCTCAGTTCTTGTCTTCTGCACACCCACAGGACCAACACCATGTGGAAGCTGCCAATGCTTGGGGCTTGCACTCTCTGAAGCGGTCTGTACCTTGGCCTCTTTTAGCCAAGGATGGAGCTGAAGCAGATAAGACACCAGGCACCATGTCCCAAGGCTGCATAGAGCAGGGGGGCTCTGGGCTTGGCCCAGGAAACTGTTTCTCCCTCCTAGGCCTCTGGGCCTGTGATGGGAGGGGCTGCTGTGAAGACCTCTGACATGCCCTGGAGACATTTTCCCCATTGTCTTGGTGATTAACATTTGGCTCCTTCTTACTTATGCAAATTTCTGCAGCCTGCTTGAATTTCTCCTCAGAAAATGGGTTTTTATTTTCTATCACATTGTCACTGTCTCTGAACAGGAGTGAACTGAGGGGGAAGCACTTGCTAGACCAGTGTTGTTAGCTGCAATCTGAAGCAACACAGTGGCTGAACCTAATATTCCTTCCAAAATTGAAAAAGTTTGGTTGTAAATGGAGAAGACAAATAATAGCTAAGAGTAAAGCAATAAACAAATGGGTTTTGTAATGAGGCAAATCTAATATTATATCAATACTGTGAAAGAGTCTAAGAGCAAGAGATGATATTGTTATAAGTTCCACGATGTTGATTATTTTATATGTTTTATCTACTATTACATAACTACCATCTGAAACATAATAGGTATATAATAGGAAAGCCATAAATATCTATAAAGTGAAAGAATAATTGGGTCTGATAAAAAGATAGCCATTTTGTTACAATAAGGCCTCAGAATGAAGAAAAACACAGAAGTCTATTCCTATAACTGGGGGCCCAGAATATCAAGGCTCAAACTGAGAAACTTGCACACACACTCATCATAGTATCAGCACCAGAGAGCAGTAAATGTGGACTTTGGCATGGCAAACACTTTGCATTGGATAGTGAAAGTCACATTACAGGTCAACAGTGGTCATGCTGAGACAGAGAGACAGAAGCAATTAAAACCAAGACCTGCCATATTACAGTATAGGGGTACATATAAGTTGATCAAGAAGTTTCTGTCTCAAAACTTTAGAAATCTTGTTGGGACTGAAAGCACTGGTGGAGCTTGTAGGAAAATAGAACAAAAAAAGAACGAAATAGAAAGGCATGAAACGTACTACTTAGTATTTTATTTTGCAAGTAATGTGTTTCTTGTGTCTTCTCCTCCTCCCCCATTCAATTGCATTGTGTCCTTTTCAAGACAATAGCTATTAAATATATTAATTTTTATACCATACTGTGTCTAAATCCACAATATGAAGAATTTAAGGGCCCAATTGATTGATGAAGGAAACTGAAATCTCAACCTGAACAGAATGCAGCTCTTTCTCTCCTACTTTTGGCTTAGGAGGTGTATCTCCAGCTTTTTGTGATGAGGTTGTTCTCTATTCTTAGGTTAAGCAAAGGTAAACATATGTTAACCTTGTTAGTTATTCTGGGAATCCCAGGTCCTCCTCCCCAATCTTATTAGTGCTCCCTTTACCTCCTTGTTCCTTAGAGTGTAGATGAGGGGATTAAGAGTTGGGGTTACTACAGTGTAGAAAAGAGTGAGAAATTTGCCCCATTCATGAGGATAGTGATTTTTTGGTTGAAGGTAGACACCTGTGACAGTGCCATAAAAGAGAGAAACCACAAGAAGGTGAGAGATGCAGGTGCCAAATGCTTTCTTCTGTCCTGCAGTTGACTTAATTCTCAGCACAGCCTTAGCAATAGCACCAGAAGAGGAAAGGATAATGATCAAGGGCATCACCAGGAGGACAACACTGGCGATAGACATCTGAATTTCACTGTAGGTAGTATCAGTACTGGAGAGCTGAATCAGAGCTGGGACTTCACAAACAACATCATCCACCATCCGCTGGGAGCAGAAGGGTAACCGGAGGGTGGCAGGGGACTGGATCAGAGACTGGGCCAAGCCAGTCCCCCATGCCAAGATAGCCAGCTGCAGACAAAGTTTTGGGTGCATGATCATGGTATTTTGCAGTGGATGACACACTGCTACATAACAATCCACAGCCATGACAACAAGAAGGACATATTCCGTGGCCCCAAGCCACAAAAAAACATAGAGTTGAATGGCACAGCCAATGTAGCTGATGGTCTTTTCTGGGCCCCAGAAGTTAATCAACATCTGTGGAACACAGCTGCTGGTCAAACAGAGGTCTACCAAGGAAAGGTTGGAAAGAAAGAAATACATAGGGATGTGGAGTTTTGGATCCTTCAAGGACACAAGAACTATGACCATATTTCCTGCAAGAGTCAAAAAATAAAAAATAAAAATGATCCAAAAAGTATCTTCTCCAAATGTGGCTTGTTAGAGAAGCCCAGAAGGATGAAATCACTGTGGCTGTCATTGCAAATTATAATCATAGCTACTGGGGCAAATGCCTCTCTGGGGAACGGTTCAAAAGTAGTTCCTCAAAAGCCTGTGATGGTTCCAGTACAGACAGGAAGACGGGTGGTATATGACTTGTTTGATTCCTTTCTACTCAAGGATAAGATTTTCACCAGCTGTATTTTGGGAAAAAATACAAGATTTAGTGAAGTGCTTTAATCTTTGATATTCATCATTCACTCTCTCTCTTCCTCTTTTACATCTTCCTCATATTTTGTCTCTGATTAAAATTGTTCATTATAAATATTATATAAAATACATGTAAGCACCTGCTAGTGAAAATCACTTTGCTAAATATTAGATGTGTTTCATCTGTGCTCTCAAAGAGTATACATTTACCACATTTATTACATAGTTCTAATCACTGCCTATTAGCTTTATAACTTTCTCTATTTCTTTTGTTCTCTTATTTCTCTGTGACCTTGTATCTTGATTTATTTCACTCTCTGTCTCCCATGTTTCTCTCTTTTTTGCTTCCCCTCTTCTCTCCCTGGATCTTCTCCCTTTATCTTCTCTTTTTTCTCTCTCATTCTCCTCTTCTCCATTCCTCCTTTTCACTCTGTCTGTTATTGATGAGCTTGAATTCTCCCTCAGCCACCTTCATGCTGTGTGATGTTAGGAAAAGTAGTTAACATTTTTGTTCTTACTTTAGTTCTTTCCTTAGATTTTGTATTTGGAAAATGAGCAAAATTAAAAACCTACATATGCTTGTTGGAGAGATTAAATGTGCAAATGTGGGAAATACTAAAAAGTGTTCTTGGCACAAAGTAACTGTTCAATGTAAGTTAGCAATAATTATCATGATGATGAAACTGTTCAATGGATTGTTCCAGAAACCAAAATTTATTACCAAAGTTTTGCAGAGCATGAGTAAAAATAACATCTAGAAAAAAGAAACATTATATTTCTACATGACCTTCTTTGATGAAGAATGATAAAGTACATTAAAGAAAACCAAAAGCTTGAAATTAGATGAAAATATTTAAAATCATTAACAATAATAACTGTGTCAAATAGATCACTCAAGCCATAATTCTAAGAAAAA